>NC_000003.12:88191818-88494848 GCF_000001405.40 Homo sapiens | reverse complement strand
TTAATGGGTGCAGCACACAAACACAGCACATGTATATGTAACAAACCTGCACATGTGCACACGTACCCTAGAACTTAAAGTATAATTTAAAAAAAGACACATGCACACGTATGTTTATTGCAGCACTATTCAAAATAGCAAAGACTTGGAACCAACCCAAATGTCCATCAATGATAGACTGGATTAAGAAAATGTGGCACATATATACCATGGAATACTGCATAGTCATAAAAAATGATGAGTTCATGTCCTTTGTAGCAACATGGATGAAGCTGGAAACCATCATTCTGAGCAAACTATCACAAAGACAGAAAACCAAACACCGTGTGTTCTCACTTATAGGTGGGAATTGAACAATGAGAACACTTGGACTGAGGGCAGGGAATATCACACACCAGGGCCTGTTGTGGGTTGGGGGAGTGGGGAGGGATAGCATTAGGAGATATACCTAATGTAAATGATGAGTTAATGGGAGCAGTAAATCAACATGGCACATGTATACATGTGTAACAAACCTGTACTTTGTGCACATGTACCCTAGAACTTAAAGTATAATAATAATAAATAATAATAAAAATAAAGGAAATCCTGCCATTTGCAAAAAACATGGATGAACCTAGAGGACATTATGCTAAGTGAAATAAGCCACACAAAGACAAATATTGCACGATATCACTTTTGTGTGGAATGTGAAATAGTCAAACTCATACAAGCAGAAAGTAGAATGGTAGTTGTCAGGGCTGGGGGCAGGGAAAAATGAAGAAGTTTTGGTCACAGGCTACTAAGTTTCAGTTTGCAAGATGATTAAATTCTGAAAATCCAATGAACTATAGTTATCGATACTGTATGGTGTACTTAAAATTTGCAAGGAAGATGGATCTTAAGCGTATTCGTCATATGAAAAAAAAGCAAAAGAAAAAAATGGTAACTTATTGAAGTGATGAATATGTTTATTAGCTTCACTGTGGTGATTATTTCACAGTGCATGTATGTATCAAAACATCAAGTTGTACATCTTAAATATAAACATACAATTTTTATTCAATTATACCTCAATAAAGCTGATGGGGGAAGCTAATATAGTGAAGAGAACAGCAGAAAGATGCCAGTCTGATTAGGTCAATGACTGATCTGGAAGTTAGGAAATAGTGACAGACAGTAGAGACAAATTCTTTCAGAAGTTTAAATTTTAGGAGATTAACAAGAATAATGGAAGTGGAGTGTCCAATGAGACTGTTTTCTTGTTTTCTTATTTGTTTTAATGGGAGAGTACTAAAGGAAACCAAAACAAGATTTATTAAAATGGGAGCTTAATATATAGGAGAAAGAAAGTATAATCTTTTTTGTAAATTCCCTGCAGTGAAGTTGACATCCTAAACACCAGTGGTAGCATCCCTCTTATATGAAAGGAGGACATTGCCTTGACATTGTTAGTAGCAGGAAAATATAGGATGTGGACAGATGTAAGTCTGTGTGTATATTTGGTATCATCAGGCTGAGAGAGTTATCCTCTGGCAAATCCTTTTTTTCAGTTAATCAGAAGGTGAGTAATTACTGAAACTGATTGAGGACGATGAGAAAATTGAAAATTTCAGTAGAGTGGAGAAGGTTTGAAGAGGGCATTGTTTAAATGGAATTATGGTCCGTTTTTCAAAGTCGTGTACTAATACTTCTGAGCAATGTTGAGGGGCTCATTTAAGATCAGTGATCATACATTTTCAGTGAAACCAGGCCTTAGTAGCTAACTCCTTGCTATACTGCTGGACTACTTGGGTTCAAGTACAAAGAAATTGTATGATAGGTTTCTTTCAGGATAGGGATTTTGTCAAATGGATACAATTGAAAAAGAGAGTCAAGAAAGTTTGTGATATTGGAAAGATAATTCTTGGAAATATGACCCAATTAATCTAAGCTGAATAACAAGAAAATGAAAAAAAGGAGATGGCCAATGTATTAAGATAAAAAATTTCAATAGACTACAGTTTGATTGCAGTGAAAAATTATAGTGGGAGTACTTAAATAAACAAAATATGAGAGAAACCTGTGGACACAGTGGGCTGCTGAAGATATTAGGGCAGATAAAATGGAGTAGGAAGTTGAAAGAGAATAAATGCGGATGACTCTGGTGATAAGAAGGTCAAGTACTACATGTGAGGTTAAATAAACTACTTGAGCATTGAAGTGACCCAAGAAGACAGCAATGCTTCTGTTCTTAAGGAGAGACCGTAAAATATATGTTGAAATCTTTTAAAGATTAGAGAGAATTATCTGGAAGCCATCAAATGACAAGAACAAGGAGGGATTAGGTGATATATATGAAGGTCTTAGCTATGTTTTGGTTTCAGTTTTGTGAAACACTGGATGACAATGATCTGGATTTAACAATGAGGGGAGGAATAACATAATTCTCACCTTACGTCCTTGAAGTTTGAAAAAAGAAACAGGCACTTCTTGAAAACATTATGCCCGATAAATTTCCACATGAAAGAGGGGGTTTCACTTAAGATAAGGACATTAAGAAAACATTCTTAGAAAAGTTTGCAAATTGAAGGGATTTTGCTAGTTATGAAACTGTGATTCTGGTGGGCACAGTGAAAGGATTTCTGCAATAAAGCAGCAGATTAAGAGTGGGGGCTGAATCAGTACAACAAAGAATTTAGGTGATGTTTTTGGAGAATTTATGATGCAGGACTTCCATGTTTTTGCTGAAAACAGAGAGGGAAAACATGTATTAATTTAGTCTGAAAATTTGATTTAAGAAGAGTGAACATTAAATGGTTGTTTTCTCTTTTGGCAAAAGTGATGGTAAATACAAGGGTCATGTATTTCTCCTGCTAGCATGCTCACTCTAAGAGGATCCAGAATTCAGACTCACATTCTTCATAGGTTGGATTGTTAGTGGTGAATGCAAACGTTATCAGCAGCATTAGTATGAGTAGTACAACACATACTATGTGCCAAGGCAATACTACCATAGTATATTATAAATACTAAGATTATTTAGACTTATTTCGATCACTCAACAACTCTAGGACATAATGCCTACTATCATTACTATTATATGAGGGAGAAAACTGGAGAATGCAGAGATTAAGTCACTTCCTAGGATCCCAAAGCTAATAAATGGTGAAGCTGAGATTTGAAATCTGGCAGTGTGGCTATATTTATTCTTTTTTAAGACAGGATAGGATTCAAAATGCTTAAATATTGATTAAAAGAAGTTAATATAAAAGGTGAGGTTGTAGAGACAGGAGAAAGAAGGTAGATATACAGGAGCCAAGATGGCTAATCACAATCAATATCTGTCTTCTCTTTATTCTTTAAAATAATTCAAATTTTATTCCAGATGATGATGTTACCATTAAAATATTTTATTTCCCAGCCTTCTTTGTATTAGACATTACAACATGACTTTGTTCTCCCCAAGAGTAGAGTGTAGAGTAGTAAGAAGTCAGCTTACGCATTTGAAATGAAGATCACTTTTGCCCTCTTATCTGTCTCCTTCTTCTGACTTTCAATGTAGACATAATAGCTGGAGCTCCAATAGCCACATTGGACCAAAGGTACCTTGAGGGATGGCACTGCAAAGTAGGGTCCTAGATCCTCAATAATACCCTGAAGCTGCCAGATTGCGCTGCACTTCCTAACTTCAGAACTATTTTGTATGAGAACAAAATATATGTTTTGTTTTAACCATTGTTTCAATACTTTTCTGTTAAATGCAGTAAATTATTAAGTAAAGCCAAGAAGATGTGGTGTTCTGAAGCCAGTGAAAAATACTATTTTTAAAGTGAGAAAAATGCTGGTACTTTATTAGAGAGGAAGTAAGACAATGACTGAAATATGCTTATTGGATAAGCCCATTTATGCCTAGTGTTCCATTATTGGAACGCTAAGCTTGTGGGAATTATTTATATCCTACTGCTCTAGATAATCACCAAGGTCTGATTTTTCTCCAAAAAAAAAAAAATTGCAACCTCAGGCATAAATAGGTTAAACAAAAGGAGGCCATTGATGACTTTAGCAAAAATAGTTTCAGAAGTATATAACTTCAGGTAAAGACAATAGTGATTGTAGAAGTCGTACATAATAGCAAATAGTAGCAAATAGAAGATAAGAAAATAAAGACAATTTGAGTATATAATGTACTAGAAAATTGTCTCTAAAGGAGAATATAGAGATAGATTGGTAAATGCAGGGAGTATAGGATCTAAAAAGGTCTATGTTTTTGGTTTGTTGGTTTCATTTTGTATTAAGAGAAAGAATAAACTAGGACATAGTTGACTTATTTTCCAAATTAAAATCCAGTGTGTTTTCTTTCTGACATGGTAGAAATTATAAATACATATAATTTAAATATATATGGGGGAGCAAGAGAGAGAGAAACAGGGAGAGACAGAGACAAAGTGAGAGGTATTTTTAAATGGTGGAAATTTCTATTATTTGTGATGCTATGGGTGAAATTTCCAAATAAAGTAAAATTAATTTAAGAAGACCTTCAAATGAAATAAATAAACATAATAATTAAAGAGAGATAAGTGCCACATATTATAGCACAGGATATAAGTTTGCACTTTTATAGCCTTAATTTGCAAACTCTTGCTAGTTATTGCTAATTATGTCAGAATATTTTTAATAAAATATGTTTATCCTTGTGATTCAGCTCACTTTAGTATGTCACTTGATTTCCAACTTCTAAATAAGAGTTATTCTGTGAGAATATTTTAACAGTGAAATATCTGAAATTGAAACAGAATTTCATGCTGCATTTGAGAAGAAAGATTTCAAGATTTCTATAGCAAATAGTTTAGCTGTCACTACATTTTCCAATAGATATTTCACCAGTCTGCTGAAATTTCATCCAAGAAAAATAGTATATGGAATAAATTTATCTCATGTTCTGTTTTCCCTCAAAATAGTAGTTTAAAAAAACCTACAAATTTTTACCATGTGCTCCTTATAACATCTTTATACCTAAGACCAAGAAAAGTATGAAACGTTTGTTTGGAAGAAACAAGCAACCTACACATTAAATTATTTGCAGAATTAAGTTAATATATTTGTATTTTAAACTTATGTAGAAAATACATTATGCATTCTATATTGAGACCCTACTGGGTGCATTATCAGAGTTATAATAAGCAATAACATGATTTCATATGCTTAAAGATTAAAAATGTTTTAAAGTATGAAATAGTTTTGGAGCAAATAAAATCACTCTTTTTTACTGGTCTATCAATCTTCTAACATTGAATCTTCAATAAAGTTTTAGAAGTCTTTCCAAAACACTGTATTATCACACTTACACATGGAGGGATGCATGTGAGGCAGAAATTCTGCTATATCCTTGTTATGCTCATTTATCTGTCTTATTAAGCTCATTACAATAAAAATGGACAAGGTAATGTATCTAGTGATGTCCAAAATTAGATATAATTTTAATTTTCCAATATCCAATACACATTCCCACTTCAAACAATATTCCTCCTAAGATAATATTTAGTAAAAAGAAATATATATGTGAAATTATGTCAATTGATTTTTCAAAAGGCATTTTCGTTTATACCCTAAAAATATTTCATGAAAGATACTTCTTTTTATGGCTTATTTATTTATTTTATTTTATTATACTTTAAGTTCTGGGATACATGTGCAGAACATGCAGGTTTGTTACATAGGTATACACGTGCCATGGTGGTTTGTTGCACCCATCAACCCATCATCTACATTAGGTATTTCTCCTAATGCTTTCCCTCCCCTAGTCCCCCACCCCATGACAGGCCCTTCCTGTTCCCCTCCCTGTGTCCATCTGCTCTCATTGATCCACTCCCACTTACGAGTGAGAACATGCGGTGTTTGATTTTCTGTTCTTGTGTTAGTTTGCTGAGAATGATGGTTTCCAGCGTCATCTATGTCCCTGGAAACATATTTCTTTTTTATTTACCTTGTTAAAATTATTGCCATCTTAAAACTATGCCAAATCATCACCAACATGTAAGAACTGAGGAAAGATAAGAATGTAAGACTTCTATGTATGTATTTATTTATAGTTATTTCAGTAGATAATATGCACAATGTGGTTTCCAAAAATTGTAAACTATACAAATGGGAATATGAAAAATCTGTTTCTTACATCTTAGTCCTTCATTTTCCCAGAGGCAACCACTGTTAGTAGTTTGTTATTTATTATTGCAGAGACGATTTGTGAATATATAAATGAATCAATATGGAAAGAGATAGAGAATCTTTTTAACAAATGCAAAAGGTAGCATATTTCTATGAATGGTCGAACTGGCATTTTGCTGTATTTAATGAAACCTTACTCCAAAACCTTAGATAAAAAAAACATCACGCCCCACTATCCCCCCGACCCCAGCCAAAGCCAAAGCAGTACCCATAACCACTTTGGGTCACTTTACATTGTTTTATCTTCTCTACAGTAGTTCACTGTATTTTAGATTATCTTTTACAATAATTATTTTGCTTACATTTTTGTTGCCTGTCTTTCACTATTAGAAGATAAGTGACTTAAGGTAAGGGACTCTATCTCATTCACTATTGAAATCGCTAGTGTCTATAACAGGACCTAACAGACACTAAGGACTGAAGTTTTTCTATTTTGTTTCTTTGACTCAACAATATATCTCAAATATCATTCAATCTCATAGAAAATAATTTTACTTGACTATGTAGCATTTCATTGTACGAATACACTACAGTTTATTTTATTAGCTACCTAATAATAGACAACTACTTTGTTTCTATTATTTTGCTAAGGCAAATAATGCTGCAATAAATACATTGGCATATATATAGTTCACATGTAAAAGTACAACTGTTGGATAAATTCCTAGAGTAGAATTGCTGAATCAAATTATATGTATTTTTTTATATTGATATAGTTTGCCAAATTACTCTCTCAAGAGATTGTTCCAATTTAAATTCTCTACACAATTTATGACAATGAATGTTTCTCATTCTCAAAGATTCTCATCAATACATTGTGGGTAAATGGTGTTGTTTTCATTGCTATTTTTATTATTATGATTGAATTTGAGCATATTTTTACACATTTCAAAATCAATGTAATGTTTTGTTGTTGAATAGTTCTTTACACATAATTTTATCAGAAGTTTATTGGTTTATGAGCACTCGTTAAGTAAATAAAATATCCTATGTTCTCTTTTGACTACATTTTAGTCTTTTTCTATACACCCACAATTCTAATTTTTGCACATCAGATCTAGCATATTTCTCTTTTAAGACTGTTTTTTACTTTTGTGTTTACAGAAGCTATCCCATTTCAAGATCATAAAAAGTATCCATACTTTCTGTTATTTATTTATATGGTTTCATGTTTTATACAATAATTGTGAGTCATCTGAAATTTATTTACTTGTGAGAAATAAACTATAATACAGGTTTTTTCCATATGGCTAGCCAGTAATCCCAGTTCTATTTATTAAATAATACTTCTCTTCCAACCAGTGTGGAACTTCATCTTCATTATGAACTAAACAATTTAGGTTCAATATCTGGATTCTCTATTCTGTTCTGTTTACATGTTGTCTATGTATGCTTTGATTACCATGGAGATAAAATATTTTTTAATTTCTCATGGAGTTGGTCACCTCTCATTACATTGTTTTACAGCTTTTCCAACTATATTTGCAATTTTGGACTTAAAAGGTAATTTGGCTAGGTCCAAGAAAATCTTAACATTTTATTGCATATATTTAAATGTATAGATTAATGTAGATATAATTAAAATTATAATTTTAAAACATACTGTACAAGAATAAAGTATACTATTCCATAAAACTTGTCCCCTTAATATTATTTGAAAAAAAGTTATTTTACCCTTTTCTTCCATTTATTCCATTATACTTTTGAATTGCTTCTCATTTGTATATAGGAAGGTCACCGATTTGTATATATTCATTTGTATTCACAAACACTATATTCTTTTATTGTTTAACAGTTTTTTAGTGATCCATATAATTCCTTTTACTTTTTTATCTCAATCTTTTAAAAGGTGTAAAGAAGTAGGAAGTCATGACTGCTAGAACAATTTAAAGATGACATCAAGAAAGATGGTTCTGTCTTCATGCTCTGTCACCCTAATGTGGGATGTTTATCCTTGTGATCTCAAATATGACAGCTCTACCTCCACATATCATGTTACTTATTCAGGGAGAAATAATAGGAATGTCCCCAGGACTTTCTCCTTACAAGGTGTACATGAGCTGAGAAGCTCTCATCCAAAACTAACATTATCATCTCAATGACTAGAAAGGTCACAATGTAGCTCTAAAGGAGTCTGAGAAATTATTTTCTCAATATAATCTGTAGTTAAACAAAAAAAAAAGCTAAGAGGGGAAAGGTTTTTTTTCTAGTGACTGTTCAATGATCCAGCCTATGATCACTCTGACTCTGTTCTCTCTGGTTCCTTGTTTCACTAAGACTGGATTTATTCTCTTATCTCATACAAGCATTATTATTTCCCATTACCTTGTTTCAGCCATGTAGGCCTATTTCTAGACTAAGAGTTCAGTAGGTCTGTGGCTTCAGACCTCTTAATCACTTTTCTTTTCTATTTCTGATCCATAAGGACATTTTTATATTTTGGAAACCCAGTGTTATGATTTACCATTTCACTTCTAATATTTTACCTATCACTTTAATGGCCTTAGAGTAATGAGAGGGATGACCACAACATATTCTTACAATAACGTCTTGATTGCTAGCATACATCACTGAAATTTTTTATTTTGAGATAATTTAGACATACATAATAGTTTTTAAAATAATGTAACAATTATCAGCTATCATTTAAGTTAATACCATACAAAACCTTAATCAAACATCGATTGAGAAATTAACTTTGAAGCAATACCATTAAACAAAATTGGTTCAGATCCACCTTTTTTTCACTGTGTTCTTTTTCTGTCCCGGGATGCAATTCAAGATCCCACATTGCATTGTCCTATCTCTTTAGTCTCCTCCAAACAGTACCTTAGTCTTTTCTCTTGTCTTTCACAAGGACACTTGTCAGTTACTTGATAGACTGTCTCTCAAATTGTGCTTGTCTGATGTTTTCACATTTTTAGGTTGAAGCAATGTGTAGTTGGGAAGAATACCACAGAGGTGATGTGTTCTCCATGCATCCTTTCAGGACACACGATGTCCATAAGGATTGCTGGTAATGTTAGCCTTAATCACATGGCATCTTAATCATAGTGCTGCCTGCCAGGATTCTCCACTGTAAAGTTAGTTTTCCCCTTAGTAATTATAGAATATTTGGGAAAAGTCTGTGTAAATAGCATGTTTCTGTTTAAACTTTCACCCCCTAATTTTAGTGTCTATCAGTGGATCTTGCCTGCAGCAATTATTACTATGGTGATTTTTTTTATTTTGCTTTTTTTCATCTAAATTTATTAATTGAAATTCTTCTGTAAGGAAAAGCTGCCTCTACTCCCCAGTCACTCTGTTATTTATTTACATATGTATAGATTTATTTTACTTTTTAAATTTTGAGTTATAATCTAATATCATAGTTATTTTTTCTGTTGCTCCAGCTGTTTCAGTTTGGGTCATTGGGACCTCTTCCATAAGGGATCCTGGACTCTTTTTTCTTCTTTTTAAGCACTTCCTTGTTTCTTGGAATTACAAAATTCTCCAGTGTCAACTGAAAATTCTGCATTTTTATCCAATTTCATTCAGTAATTCCCTATCTCAAATCTGAATTAGCTAGGTCTACAAGAGCCTTATATACTTTCATTGGAGAAAAGTATTTAGAAACCATACTCTGGGTACTGGCTTTGCTAATTGCTACTTGGGTGTCACTGTTTCTATACCTTGTTAGTAGGTATATGTCTGTAGACCAACCCTGAGCATACACATTCACACATACATACACACATCTGTAGCTATCTCTGTATCTATCTGTATTTATAATTATTTTTAAGTGCATATTGATTTCTCTGACTCCCATCCAGCACCATAGACTTTATTCCAGCCTATTTGTAACTTCTCAGACCATGAAAAATCTGGTTCTCATTATCTACTTGTTTAATTCCAGTGTTCAATTAAGTGGCTTCAGAATTACTAACATTTATCCCAGAGAGAAACAAATGTATCAACTAGAGTTCTTTATTTATCTAGTGTCCACTAGTCCTACAGTATCCACTGAAAGCCATTTCAAAGTTATTTCCATCAACTCCCTTTTCCCTCATCCCCTTTAGTGTCATTATGTCATGTATTCGTAACATACTGTCACAAAGCAATGTGGGATCTTGAATTGCATCCTGGAACACAATCAATATTCCATCCATCCTCCACTCCCATATACTGGTTGCATTCTTTAAAAATTTGTTCTTTATGATGTGCAGTTCCATGAAGTTTGACAAATGCATACAATTGTCTATCCAAAACCACAGTTTAACACAGAACCGTTTCAATACCCCCAAAATTCGCTCCTAAGGTCCCTTTGTGGTAAACCACTGCCGCGGCCCCAAGATCCCGGCACCCTATTGTCTGTTTCCTGTCTCTATATGCTTGCATTTTCTTAGTGTCAGATAAATAAAATCATGGTTTATAAGGCTTATGATGTCTGTGAAAGTGCATTTAAGATCCATGTTGCTCTGTGAATCAATAGTTTTTCCCTTGTTATTGCTGAGTGGTATTCCACCATGGAGTTGAACCACAGTTTATTTACCCATACATCTATTGAATGGTGCCAGAGTTATTCCCAATTTTTGGAGGACACGAATAATGTTATTATAAATATTCAAATACAGATGAATGTGTGAACATATTTTCAGATACCTAGGAGTAGGATTGCTAGATGTGTGATAGATGTATATTTAAATATTTATTACCTTAACCTCCAGCATTGTGTGAGAGTTCTATGTGCTCCACCTCCTAGACAGTTATCAGTATTGCCAGTTTGGAGGTTTGTTTTGTTTTTGTTTTTAGTTTTAGCAGTGTATAGTGATAAACATTGAGTTTGAACTTTGATCCACTACACACTGGCTTTAAAACCTTGGGCAAGTTATGTAATCTCTCTGCTTCAGTCCCCTAAATTGTCAAAAATGGTTAATAATACTGCCTACCTCAAAGGCTTTTGATAATTAAATGAGATAAAGAGCATAAAATCCTTAATGCTGTCTGATACATATATCTCAAAAATATTAGTTTTTAATTCTTTACCCTCTTTCTCCTCTTATCACCTTTGAATTTACTCCCTAACTCATCAAATGTATTGAACATGTATTTTATAACAAAACAACATTTCCAGGTAAATTTAATAATTTATACCTAGACTCATAAGTTTTAAAGTCTTTATTCGAAATTGTTGGTTTCTTCTTTTTAATAACTTTGATAGCACTTCTGTGTCTCTCTGAAATATCTTTTTTTTGCCTTTGATTCAAATTCTAAATTTCATCCAACTCTAGTTGTAAATTCCACCTTTCCTGTTGCTGACATATTTAAAGCCATTTCAAGCCAAAGACTGTGCCTTTCTCTAACTTTCTATGTATTCTAAAAATTAATGAAAATACTTTCAGAATTATATTGAGAACTTTTTCACGATAGACATGTTTACTTCCAATTACTTGATATAGTCTCTTGTGATCAGTGTAGGTATTTTGAAAAAGTAATCAAAGTGACTCAAATGCATTCCCTCTCAACTAGCTCACAAACCATGATTTAGGACATAAATACCTTAATAAATATATCATCCTAATTTTTTAGGTATCTAAACATAAGGTGCAATGACCTTTCTCATTCTCAAAACTATTTTTTGCTAGCCTTAACAATTCCAAGAGATGTATTTCCAAGCTGCTTTTCCAAATTCCCAGACGACCTGAAAATTATTTTATGACTCCATTTGGGTTTGAAATGTTTGAATATATGTCCCTTAGTGTTTTCTGGTAGACTCTAATTGATCCAATACTGAGAAAATTAAGGAAAAGAAAATGTTTAGCATACTCTTTAATGCACAGAGGAATAAGATGATTTAAATTCTCTCATTTTTTGAAGATATATTTAAAAACAAATGAGAGATGGGTTCCCTCTATTGAATAGCTTTTCTAAGAAACCTGAGTCACTTAATTTGTTCAACGGAAGTGCTTCTAAATTGTCAGCAATAATAATAATAGTAATTGAGCCAAATTTTTTAAATTTCAATATTACCATTCACAATGACAAAAAGAATTATAATACTGGAAATAATCTTTAAAAGAACCTGTGCTTTTTGATTTTTAAACAAAATTGCAACTCTGCCGATTCTTCACAGCTTAATCTAGGAGAACAGAGTTGCTCTTGGCTGAGACGAGGAAGACATTAGAAGGAGCAAAGTTTAGGGATTGGGCAGTGATATAATAAGAGAGGTAGGAAGATTGTTTTGTAACCTATTGAGTTTGAGATGACAAATGCCACTGGTAGATAATAAGTAAAAAGTTTGCAGTCATAATATCTGGACTAGAGGTTCAAGTTCAGAAATCATCAGTAAGTAAGCAGTATTGAAAGCCACTCTGTGGAAATTGAATTTAACTAGAATTGTGGTTTTGCCAGATAATTTCAATAAAAGGAGAATGTGGCAAGAGATTTGAGGGTGTATGCAATATAATTTTTATAATGGACCAATTTAAGCTACTATAAGAAGCATCTAAGAGGCAAAGGACACTTAAATATTTGTAAAGTGAATGAATTATGGTCCATGGTTGGATCAACATATTGTCAGAATAAGAGAAACTAAAGGAAATGTGTGAGATGCTTTAAATTGAGATTTTAGAGTATTTGACAGTGAGAAGGTCTGGATTATGATCATGGTTTTAAAGTGAAAAGAGACAACTAGGACAAAGAAATTATAAAAATGGGAACTCAGGATATTAAAAGGATCTTAGTTTTAATACGAGTAGTATTGAGGAGGATGAAAGTAAGCCTGGATCCAAATGAGACTGTCATGAAGTTCAGAAAATGACATAAACCAATAAATAAGATAGTTGGTGACACAATACAGCCTGATAACATGACATCTAAGCCTGGGGAAGGAAGTCAGGGATTAGAGAGGGAGAAACACCCATAAGAATCAAGGAGGAAAATTCCCTTTATGACAAAAAGACTGGTATATATCACTTTGAAGGAAAAACTTGAGGGTTGCAGTTTCCTCAAAAAAAGCATAGCTGCCAACCAATCAGCTTATTGAGAAGGGAATGATTAGAAAAGAGCTGAACATGTCATATAGGAAATTTTGCTAAAGGCTGGTTATGGTATAAGGCTTAGAGGAAGAATTTCAGTATTTGGGTAGGAGTTAAGATGTAGGGCTAAAAATGGATAAGCGTGCTGGCCAAGGGTGATGATTAAAGTCAATGACTTTTCTCCACTGCTAACTGAAAGAGCAAATGAGATTAATACTACATATCAAGGCAGATATACACAAAGGACAGGTCCTTTATATGTACAGCATGATCCCACATCCAAAAAAAAAAAAAAAAAAAAAAAAAAAACGAGTACATGTTTGAATTTGCAAAGGCAAAATATGGGAAAATAATAAAACCTAAGTATTACTTCCTAGGAGGGGAACAATTTTGTATTTCTATAAGATACATTAAGTTATTGTCAGAATTCTTTTAAGTGTGCACTACTTCCATGAGCAAAATTAATAAAAATATAATATGAGCAGAAAACATTAAAGTGTTTTATATAATGCCAATTATGTTTTTTAAAATGCTGGGAATGGAGTGAAAGCTGTGACTAATTCAAAATGATATGCGAAGTTATTAACAGTAAGTAGTTCTCTCTCAGGAGTGACATCACCAGACAGCTATGAAACTTTCCAACTTTTGAATTTTTCATGACAATCATTTTGATGAGAAAAAAAAGAGAGACTAAGGGGGAGGGAGGAAGGGAGTGGAAGAGAGAGAAACAGGGACATAAAGAGAGAGAAAACGTTTCTCTGCTTACAAATCCCATACAATTTCTACTAGAAAGAGAGCTAACATGGTGGGGACGTTTCATTTAAGCATATATTTCAGCTACCATATTTTTAACTGCCATATGCCAGGTATATTTCTCTCAGGCCTGGAGAAACAGTAGTTTTCAAGACAGTCAACATCCCTGCCTTATGGGAACTTATATTCTAGAAATCAGTACTTCCCATAGAAATGTAAGTAAGCCACATTTGTAGTTTAAAATTTTCTAGAAGCCATACTAAAAAAGTAAAAAAAAAAAAAAAAAAAAAAGTAGAATTACCACTAGCGACATAGTTTATTTAACCTCATATATCCAATCATGATCCATTATCATTTCAATATGTAATTATGCACCCAAAATATTGATGGGACAGTCTGTAGCATAATGCATGATTCATCTAAAGCTAAAGAAAAGTATTTGTAAGTTTTCTAATTTTTTTATAAGTTGATACGTTATTTTGATTGGAAGTTTTTTATTTAGAGTCATTGTTTGGTGGCTTTATTGAAGATTATTTCACTTTAAAAATATGTAGTTTTTAGTATTTCCTCATAATTCTGTAACAAATTTTCTGTAACTGAAATAAATGTTACTATCTCTCCATATAAAACTGGTTTTCTTTATTGTGCTAGAATCCAAGCCATCTTAGAGTCTGCCAATATTATAAATTCAAATTTTTCTAAAAAAAAATTTTTTTAATCTCTGTTAGATATTCCATTTGATTTCAGGCAACTAATGTGCTGACTCTTTTTCATTTTTTGATAGAAATCAAAATCACTACATGGCTGCTGAAAGTGTTTCTGAATATTGTCTACTCTATTATACTTAACTTTTAACACAATGCCCAAATAAGTTTTCTGTGTTTCTCTGATGCAGCACATTTCAATTTCCATTTGTCATAAATTTTTGACAAACCTTCCACTTTTTTTGTATCTTTCATCATATTGTAAGCTTTTGCATCTTCATTTCATTCTGCACAGTACTGTGGTTTTGTCTTAAATTTTAAAATGTGTAGATACTTACTTGTAAGCTAAAAATGTCAGTTAATTATATTATAATCAGAACTATCTTATGTATTTTATCTTAATTTCCAGCTACAAGCTACATAAATGTTACTATAACTGATGTTTTCTGCATAAAATAGTCAATCACAAATTACATCAGTGTGCAAAGAAAAATCATTCAAAAGGTATGAATCCATTGATATCAACTAGATCTGTGATTTGCTTGTGATAATACTGGAAATGCACACTACAGTAAAACAAAAATATCTTAAAGTGATGCAATATTTAAGGGAAATGTAGTCCTACCAAAACAATAATGATGTTTATCGGAAAAACGTTTACACTGCTTCAGTTTTTAATTTTAAAATGTGGCCTTAACCACATTTCAAGTGTTCAATAGCCACATTTGACTAATGGTCATTGTATTGGAAAGTGCAGTTCTAGCCATTAAAAAAAATATTTCACCTACATGTAGACTATATAGTATTAGACTAAGCCCTTTTCTGGAAATCCATTTCTTCTTTGGTAAAACTAGAATTATGAAATACTTCCAACTTCATAGAATATTATACAACTGTAGGGAAGATCACACATTGGAGAAGATAATTGTAAAAATGTTATTTATTTCTTTAACTCTCTAAACAATTTCCTAAAAATCCTTTCAATAGTTTTTCATATCTAAGACAGTGATATGATCTATTCAGAATTATAGATTTATAGTAAATATATCAAGGTATTTTATATGGGACAGAATTTGAAAGTGCAAAATATAATCTCCAGTGAAGGGAAGATTTTTCTCCCCCAAACAAATGGTTTTTGTATTTTATTATTGAAAATAAAGAAATAATAAATGAAATGTTTCCTCTAACAGACAATTCAATGAAATTGCAAATTGTGAAGCAACAAGGGCTAATTTAGAGTTGAGTTATGAATAAGAATACCAAGTACAAATACTATGATGGCACTTCATGTTACAGATTTCAATAGCTTTCTTTTTATCATAAATGATATGCTACGGTCTCAATCTTTTAAAAATTAAATCACTTTCAATTTATTATGTATCTCTGACATGTTATACCTTTTTGATGAAAAGTGTGTTGTTATACTATATTTCATATTCTGAAGTACTGCAATTAACACTTCTTTAGTGAAAGAGTCTAACACTCCAGTGTTACTTTTTCAAACACTTCTTACTTTGTAGTGTAAGCCTGGCACAAATCCCAGAATGTGATTCTAA
Organism: Homo sapiens; assembly: GCF_000001405.40. NCBI lineage: Eukaryota > Metazoa > Chordata > Mammalia > Primates > Hominidae > Homo > Homo sapiens. The sequence goes on along the minus strand of NC_000003.12, from coordinate 88,478,633 downwards.
CACACCATTTTCCTCACTGTAGAATTAATACAAGCTTTAGAAAAGCCATTTTCTTAAGTAAAAGAAATTGTTCTTAGCCCAACTCCTTATACTTCCTACCTAGAACCAAATACTCATTTAAGTATTTATTGGCAAGGCATTTGATGAGGGCAAGACACTATGCAATGTGAAGTAAGAAAGGAAAGAAAATGTGCTACAATTTCTTAGATTTTAGGGCCCTTACAATCTCATAGGTGAAATGGGAATTAATAAATCAAAAGGATTTATTTGTAAATATAATTAAAGAACCCCAGGCCAGATGCATAGAAATGCAAAGCAAGAAGAATCTCTGGCCTAGAGTGATAGACAAGAATGTTGCTATATTGTTAATAGAGTGGAGCTCAAGTAATGGATAACATATTAAAGTAGTTGGATATGGAAGTGGGGTGTTCTGAATTGGGCTAGGCAACATGAACAAGATCTGAGAGGCAAAAAAAAATTGGGAATATTTGAGAAATTGCAAGACGCAACAATTAAATGGAGTTTGAAGTACACTATAGATGGAGTACACTGAGAGAGTAGTTGTGAGTGAAAGAGAATTTGCTATAGACAAGATTGTGGGGGACCCTATGTAGCAGGCTGAGCAGTCTGGACTTTGCTCAATGAACAATAGGCAGCCTTGACCTGGGTAGTGACGGTCAAAGTAGAATATAAAGATTTACAGGTAGAAGAGGGACTGCCAAGGAATCTTGTAATTAATGCTTTGAATATGGATCTCAGGTCATTATTATTCTAAATCATCAAAAAATGGATAAATTGTGTAACCAAACTGTAATTTTTAAAGCCCCATGGATCAATAAATATTTGAAAATGTAACAAAATATTAATAAATTAAGGAATGATGCTATTTATTTCAGAATTACTGTGTGCCAAATTCTCACCATCTATTATCCCTCCTTATTGAGGGAACGGATTTTCACAGTGATTAAATACTTTCCAAAGCTGCGCAGTTAGTGACAGAACCAGAATGTGAGTGTGTCTGAGCCTAAGAGTGCAAAGCGCATGATTGCTATCCCTTAATGTTAAAGTGAACTTCTATGTTTTCAAACTGGAAGAGAAACGAATATGCAGACCTGAGAGATAATATAACTGAGAGATAATATAACATGTGAATGTTTGTGTCCCTCCAAAATGCATATGTCAAAACCTATTCTCCAATGTGACAATTAGGAGGTGGAGTTTGGGGGAGCTGATTAAGTCATGAATGGATTAATACCTTTATAAGCAGCTAAAGAGAGGAGAGCCATGTGAGGACACAATGAGAAGGTTCCTCTAGAACTAAGAAGTGGATCCTGACCGACACTGAATCTGCCAGCACTTTGATCTTGGACTTAGTCTCCTGTAAGAAATAAATTTCTGTTGTCTATAAGCCACTACTTTATGGTATCTTGTTACAGCAGCCCAAATGACTAAGACAATAATTAAATCCATTTCTTTTTTTATGAAAGGCGTTAAGGGACAGATAATTTAAATGATTTTCAGAGATTGCAGAGTTTTCTTGGGAAGTGACTTGTATAAAATGAACAATGTATTTTATGTAACTGAAAGAATAGAGAAATGAGCCTAATTCCACTTTCATTCTTTTTTTTTTATCTTATGCATCTCATATGGTTCATTAATTTAAATAATCCTTAATGTGAGTGGCGGTTAAGACCACGTAAATGGGCCAGGTGTGGTGGCTCACGCCTGTAATCCCAGCAGTTTGGGAGGCCAAGGCTGGCAGATCACGGGGTCAGGAGATGGAGACCATCCTGGCTAATATGGTGAAATCACGTCTCTACTAAAAATACAAAAATTTAGCCAGGCGTGGTGTCGGGCGCCTGTAGTCCCAGCTACTCGGGAGGCTGAGGCAGGAGAATGGAGTGAACCGAGGAGGCGGAGCTTGCAGTGAGCCGAGATCGCTCCACTGCACTCCAACCTGGGCTGCAGAGCGAGACTCCGTCTCAAAAAATAAAAATAAAATAAAATAAAATAAAAAACCACATGTAAATGGGTCTTATTATATTAACACATGATCAATTAATAGAATAGTCACTAGGCAGAGTTATTACAAGGATATGAAATGATGTAAGCAAAAGCAGGAAGAAAAGAACTTACATACTATGTGATCAAGTGGGGAATAGATTTAGCTATCATTTTGAATTTAAGGACATTCTACGAAAGAGCATGAAAGAATCCTAGAAAATGTAAACTTAAACTCTTTTTCCTTACAGATACATAAACTGAAATTTTCAAAAGGCTAAGTTACTGCCAATGATCCTCTAGCTTGTGAGTGTGAAAAGCAGGTTCAGTGTCTTACACAGGAAATTCACCAATTCACGCGTTCTGTGGGGGCGGGGGTGGGATGGTGGTAGAGAGGGGCTGAAGTTGTTGGGGAGAGACTGGAAAACTAAATGCAGTTTGACGCTGAACCATAATAAAAGATGAATTTGCAAATTTTCCTAAAGAAAGGGAAAAGCCAATAAAAGAGGTTTAAGCTGAGCATTTTTTTCTGAAGCATCTATTTGACAAGTAATTTATATAGATTACTCCAGATCGAAAGGAAAATAAGCAGGAGGAGGTAGAGGAAAAGCAGAATGAGAAGGTAAGAAAAAAGAGACAAATATCACCTCATTACAATAAAACTCAACAACTTGAAAAATAGTTTTGAACGAAGAAAGTCAATTCAGATGGCAGAGAAGCAAAATTTTACTATAGAGCCTGAAGAGAGAAAGACAGGGAGACCAAGAATCTAGTCCACTAGCCCGTCCCAAACTCTGTTCCACTCTCATTGAGCGTACTCCCTTGTTCTTTGCTAATCCTCCAGGCACCCAACTGTCAATCATTTCCCTTGGTGAATCATTTTCTTCATCTATATTAAACTAAAAATTGGTAAAATAGTTTAAAAGTTAATCAAATGAATTAATAATCATTTGTATATTTAGAAGTTTTAAATTCAACAGATTTGGAAAACAAAACAGAAATATATAAATATCACACTAAGATTTACATATTGATACAAGGTTTTTGACCCTATTAATGTTTTTGACTGGATAATTATTTGGTTACGGGATATCCTGTGCATCGTATAATATTTAGCCATATCCCTGGCCTTTACCTACTCATGACCTAGAATATGTAGAATATCTATCCAGTTATAACAATCAAAAATATCTTCAGACATTACTACATAGCGCTGGAAATAAAATCAACCTTGGTTGAGAACCCTCTTAATTACATATTGAAATGGAAAACTGTTTGATATATGGTGTAAAGTAAAATGTATTACTAAAATTAATTTTACCTTTTTTAACTTTTTAATGTAGCTATAAGAAATTTTTTAATTATATATAACTCATGTTAAATTTGTATTGGGAAGCACTGTGGCAACCATCATTCCTCTCTGTTTTATACTCTAAAGCAGTGTTTCTCAAACTCTTAATGTGCATAAAACTTACCTAAAGATCTTATAAAAATTCAAATTAAAATTCAGTACATTTGAGGTGGGGTGAGATTCTGTATTTATAAGATCCTTGGTGATACTGATACTCCTAACCCATGGATCAAATGTTGCACAGCAGAACTCTTGGGAACTTTCCATATGTATGCAAAATAGGACATAAAAACAAATGTCAATGTAGCACTGTTTGTCATAATAAAAATATGTAAACACTGTTCACCCAAAAGTGAATATATAAATTGTAATAAATTCACACTACACAGTTATATAATACATATTTATATGTGTATATGTGTGTGTACACATACATAACCAGTAAAAAATGAACATGAACTATATCATACCAGGATAAATCTCAAAAACATAATCCAGATCAAAAACCACATATTTCAAAATGTTAAGTACATTATGATAAAATATATTCAAAGTTAAAAACTTGCAAAAGAATAGATTGTTATGCACTCATTAATATTTACTAAATTTCTTAGACAAATATGATTCACAGCAAGTTCATAACAATGGTTATTTCTGGGGAGTAAAAGATATTGGGATCCTGGATGTTTATACACACTGGAGTTGGCACATGTTTCAATAATGTTTTATTTCTTTAACACATGAAGTAAATGAAACCAGTGAGGTTTGGGAACCTCCACCTAGAGGCAGAAAAAATGGAGGAAAAAATGGATGGTTTCATGGGCCAGGCCCATGGCCCTACTGCTGTGTGCAGCCTAGGGAGTTGGTGCCCTGTGTCCCAGCCAATCTAGCCATAGCTAAAAGGGGCCAAGGTACAGCTCAGGCCATAACTTCAGAGGGTGCAAGCCCCAAACCTTGGCAGCTTCCACATGGTGTTGAACCTGTGGGTGCATATTTTTTCCTCCTAGGCCTTGGAGCCTGTGATGGGAGGGGCTACTGTGAAGGTCTCTGACGTGCCCTGGAGACAGTCTTCCCATTGTCTTGGTGATTAACATTTGGACCCTCGTTCCTTATGCAAATTTCTGCAGCCAGCTTGAATTTCTCCTCAGAAAATGGGATTATCTTTTCTATCGCATAGTCAGGCTGCAAAGTTTCCAAACTTTTATGTTCTGCTTCCCTTTTAAAACTGAACGCTTCTAACAGCATCCAAGTCACCTCTTGAATGCTTTGCTGCTTAGAAATTTCTTCCACCAGATACCCTAAAGCATCTGTCTAAAGTTCAAAGTTCCATAAATCTTAGGCAGGGGCAAAATCCCCCAAGTCTTTTTGCTAAAACATAACAAGACTCACCTTTACTCCAGTTCCCAGCAAGTACCTCATCTCCATTTGAGACCACCTCAGCTTGGATTTCATTGTCCATATCATTATCAGCATTTTAGTCAAAGCCATTCAACAAATCTCTAGGAAGTTCCAAACTTTCCCACACTTTCCTGTCTTTTTCTGAGCCCTCCAAACTGTTCCAACTTCTGCCTGTTACCCAGTTCCAAAGTCACTTCCACATTTCCAGGTATCTTTACAGCAGCACCCCACTCTACCAGTGCCAGTTTACTGTGTTAGTCAGTTTTCATGCTGCTGATAAAGACATATCCAAGACTGGGTAATTTATAAAGAAAAAGAGATTTAATGGATTCACAGTATCACATTGCTGAGGAGGCCTCATAATCATGGAGGAAGGTGAAAGGTACATCTTACATAGCAGCAGACAAGAGAAGGAATGAGAACCATCAGATCGCTTGAAACTTACTCACTACCATGAGAACAGTATGGGGGAAACTGCTGCCATGATTCAATTATCTCACACTCTGTCCCTCCCACAACACATGGGAATTATAAGAGCTATAATTCAAGATGAGATTTGGGTGGGGACACAGCCAAACTATCACCCAGTAATAACCACTTTTTTCAACATTTGGTATTTTACTTCCAGTCATTTCATCTTTGTCATATATATGAAACAGATATTACACAAGTGCACACATAGACACACATAATTTTAATGTTTTACAAGGTAGGATCATATATAAACTATACTTGATCTATCTTATAATTTGATATTTTCTCACTTAAATCATAAATGATATAACCTCCTTGTTTTTCTCTGCTATCCCTTATCTAAAGCTTCTGTTCAAAACCTAGATACAGTAGTTTAGCTATTTCCTCTTTGTTTCATTTTCTTCTTCCATCACATGCTCAGGATCACTAGCCAGGCCCGAGCATTCTCACGAAATATTTTCCTAAAATAGATAGTTCTATTCCTAAAATAAATATTGGTGCAATACTTAAAATAACAAATATTTTTGCTAGGAAAAATATCACCTGTACAGATTATAGTCTACTTAAATACGTTTCTATAAATGAACAATTTCTCACAATTATAAGCAAACAGCGATGGTTACTTATTTATATAACTCTATATTGACACAATAATTTCTTTAAAATAAATTCCAAGGAGGAAGACCATATGGAAAATAGTTATGTATATTATAAAATCTTTGATATTATTGTCAAATTATTATCCACATGTTTCCTAACATTTTACCTTAACTGGTATGACTGAACGTGAAAACTCATAGGATCTACTTTCTGTCTCTTGACTGTTATGTAGTGTGTTCTCATGTCCAGCCCTTTCTATTTAAGGCAAAAAGCATTATTAAGGTGCTATTAAATTTTTTCTATTATATTTTAAATAATTTTTCCCTCAAATGTAGTAAATTGTGAGTCCTTCTACCCTTCCTTACATATTTTTTCATCTATAAAACATTTGACAGAAATTTACTGACCTTTCTGGCACTAACACATGTTGTTCCCTATGTTGGAATTTTCCTGGTATCTCAATAGAAGCTGGAGGAGAGACAGTTGAATATGTGTTGCTTGTATAAACATTTTTACCTATAAACTTCATCCAGTTTTATTTACAAATTAAAATATCAGAAAAATATAGGTTAAAGGATTCTCTGGGAAAAAAACTTGAAAGTAGATACTGTTAGAATTAAGAAAAAGATAAATAACTTCCTATAGCATGGAAACGTTCAGAGCGACTAAATCGTAGTCCATAAAATAAAGGAAAGAAGTAAAAAGATGCTACAATGAAACACAAAGTTTAGAAAACAAGCTAAAAGGTGAAAAATTAAACAGTAAGTTGCATCAATAAATAAAAATCAGTTGAACTACTCAGTTTAAACTAATTCAACAATTATTTATAGAGTATTTAGTATGATCCAGGTATCACCAAGTCCTGAGGAGTTAGTGGTGAACAAAATACACACAGGACCTCTACTCATGAAATTTAGTCTAGTACAGAAGATATTAAACAATTACAAGTTATGAGCTTCATCAAAGAGTAGTTCAAGATGAATATAACGTGTCAAAATGGTTTTCTAAAGAGGTTGCAGTAAGCCTTGATCTCATACATCAGTTCTTCCTCATCATTAGTGATCTGCTGTACATAAGCTAGCATTATATTTGATACCAAGATGCTATAAAGAAACACCTTTGATGTAAGAAATAAGACAAAGACGATTACCATTATCAGTAATATTCTTGTATAAGTTCTTACCAAGACAACAGGTAGTGAGAATAATTCACATTAATCTTATGAGAAAGATGCAGAACAATAAAACATTACTTATTTCAAAGAATTTAAAAAGAGGGATATCTGGGATACATGTGCAGAGTGTGCAGGTTTGTTACATAGGTATACATGTGCCATGGCTGTTTTCTGCACCTATCAACCTGTCATCTAGGTTTTAAGCCCCACCTGCATTTGGTGTGTGTCCTAATGCTCCCCCTCTCCTTGCCCCCTTTCCCTGGACCACCTCCCACAAAAAGGCCCCGGTGTGTGATGTTCCCCTCCGTGTGTCCATGTGCTCTTCTTGTTCAAGTCCCACTTATGAGTGAGAACAAGTAGTGTTTGGTTTTCTGTTCCTGTGTTAGTTTGCTGAGGATGATGGCTTTCGGTTTCATTCATGTCCCTAGAATGGACATGATCACATTCTTTTTTATGGCTGCATAGTATTCCATGGTGTATATGTGTCACATTTTCTTTATTCGGTCTATCATTGATGGGCATTTGGGTTGGTTCCAAGTCTTTGCTATTGTAAATAATACTGCAATAAACATATATGCCCATGTGTCTTTATAGTAGAATGATTCGTATACCTTTGGGTGTATACCCAGCAATAGGATTGCTGAGTCAAATGGTATTTCTGGTTCTAGATCCTTGAAGAATCACCACACTGCCTTCCACAATGGTTGAACTAATTTACACTCCCACCAACAAGTGTAAAGGCATTCCTATTTCTCCACAGCCTCACCAGCATCTATTGTTTCCTGACTTTTTAATAATCACCATTCTTACTTGCTTAAGATGATATCTCATTGTGGTTTTGATTTGCAACTTAAAGTAAAATTGTATTTTATATATATATGTGTGTGTGTGTGTGTGTGTATGTATATATATATATATATATATATATATATATATACACACACATTTTTTAAAGGATCCTGAAATAAGAGGGCCAGGTGATGACACATAATCCCACAAGCAAGGTGGGCCCAATTGTCATAATGAACAGCAAAGTTGGAGTAGCAGCCATAAGGTCATGAAAACAAAGGTGCTGAGAAGTTGGTTAAAAGAATGCTGTAGTAAAATACATGAACAGCAAATAAGAGACTTAGTTACCCTACACAATCAAAAGAAATTATGGTCTCCAGATATTTGAAAATTAAATAATATATTTCTAAATAACTAATGGATCAAAGAAGAAATCAAAAAAGAAATTATAAAATATTTTAACTGAATTAAAATGGAAACACAACTTATTGATAAAAAGAATGAACTGTTGATGGAAGAAACAACATGAATAAATCTCAAAATAATTATTCTATTTTTTCTTTTTTTGTTCAAAATAATTATTCTATGTATAAGAAGAAGATAGAAAAGAATACATACTGCACAATTCCATTTACGTGAAACTCTAGATTATACAGACTAACATATAGTGACAAAATGCAGATCAGCAGTTGTTTGGAGGGCAGGAAGGATAGAAGAGAGATTACAAAGTGGCACAAGAAAATGTTTGAATGTCATCATCAGTTTTTTTATCTTTATGTATAATTATCTTGATTGTGATGATGTTTTCATGGTTGTTTACATTTGTCTAAACTTATAAAATTGCATATTTTAAACATGTATGGTTTACTGCATGTCAATTATATCTCAGTAAGACTATTAAAAAATAAAGGCTCAATAACTCTAAAAAAAGAGGAAGAACTTCAATAGCATTAACTCAATATCAATATCAACACACACTTTAGGACATTTACTCTGTTCCCAAAGACTAGGCAAAGAAAATAAAAAACAGATAAAATATGCTGAACAAAGTCTTCAGTCTAGCAAGTGAAGAGAGATAAGAAATGGTTGCAAGATAGCGTGGTTAAGAGCAGTACAACGAGTGAACACAGAATTTCATGGCAAGAGGAAGGCCAACTAACCCCTTTGTAAGTGAATCAGGAAAAGGCTTCCCTTAAGATGTTAACACAAAGCAGAGCCCTAGAGGATAAAAATGGATAAATGGAAAGATCTTTCTAGACAGCAAAATTGTTTATTTAAAATGTTAAGATGTAAGAGAAGGCTTGACACATTCTATGCATTATAAAGAAACCAGCATGCCTGAAGCATTGGTAGGAGGCTGGAATAGAAGAGGAAATCCATTTTCAGAGTTTATCTTTGTTCAATCAGAAAAGGAATTTAGACTTTTCCCAGAAAACAACAGGCAGTGATTAAAGGATTATAAGCAGCACAGTGGCTGCTTATAACCACAGCCGCACCACAATTGTGCTATGACCACAAGTAGCAGGGTGGCAAAAGGGATGGAAAAAAAGGGCTGGATTCTAGAAACTAATAAGGCCATACAATTCATGAAGTTAGAGAGGGACAAGCAATGAGAAAAACATCATGACACCATGGTGACCAATTTATGTCTCAGAAATATGTTCAAAAGCCAACGTGTATGTTTACAAGTTGTATTAGTTAGAGTTCTTTAAAGGGACAGAACTAATAGGATAGATGAACATATGAAGGGAGTTTATTAGGAGAATTGACTCACACAATCACAAGGTTAAGTCCCACAATAGGCTTTCTGCAAGCTGAGGAGCAAGGAAGCCAGTTGGAGTCTCAAAAACTCAAAAGTAGGGAGGCCGACAGTACAGCCTTTAGTCTGTGGCCGAAGATTGGCAAATCACTGATGTAAGTCCAAGATTCCAAAAGCTGAAGAACTTGGAGTCCGATGTTCGAGGGCAGGAAGCATCCAGCACGGGAGAAAGATGGAGACAAGAAGTCTCAGCAAGTCTGCTCTTTCCACCTTCTTCTGCCTGCTGTATTCTAGCCACACCGGCAGCTGATTAGATGGTGTCCACCCACATTGAGGGTGAGTATGCCTCTCCCAGTCCACTGACACCCTCACAGACACAACCAGGAACAATACTTTGCACTCCTCAATCCAATCAAGTTGACATTTAATATTAACCATCACACAAGTTATTGCCACATCTAAGTGATAAATGGCTATGACCACAACTAGCAGGGTGGCAATGAGGATGGAAAAAAAAAGAGCTGGATTCTAGAAGTAATAATGCCATAGAATTAATGAAGTTAGAGAGGAAAAAGCAATGAGAAAAACACCATAACATTATGATGACAAATCACAGGGAATACAGGAGCCGATAATTATAGATTCAAAGATGTAAACTCTAAGTGTAAAGATGATGAATTCTGGCTTGGCCATGTGGAGCTTGAGATGCCTGTATCATGCTCCAGCTGGAAATGTCCAATATGCAGTCCAGTGACCAGAAAAGATGTGGAGTGGACAAGTGGGATTGTGAGTCATTAGTGTATGTAACTGATGCAAATTCTAGCCATTGGAGATAGAAATTAACACTTAAGGTGAGTAAGTAAGGCAACTCCCTCTCTTCCCACTACCAGTAGACCCAGTGGAACAAAAACATTTTTAAAACATTTTTTATTAACTCATTTCATTTGTGTAGATAGCCATGATGAACAGGTGACTTAAGAGCCCATAATTAAAATATCAACACAGTCAGCATTAAGTAGGATTATTTGTAACAGTAGTTATTCTTTCTTCATATTTATTAACTAAAGTTGAATAAATCATTGGACTTCAGAGTGTAGGATATTGACATAGAAGAATTTTCTCTACAAACAAATAATTGAAAGGATTTCTCTTTATAGATTTTCTTACCCATTGAACATCATCTGACTTTTCTTTAAACATAGGGAAACAGATTAGCATAGATTGGCTTCTGAGGAAAGGGAATATTAATGAGCTAGATACATTTAGGGTAAGACAGATGAAGTATTTCTGGTCTATGGCCAACTATGTTAAATTCATTCAACAATAATTACAAAGTGGCTACTATAAGCCAGACATTCAGTCAAAAACATAGGATTCAGTTTTGGGCTTCTAGAAGATCACAGTCCATTATTTAACTAGAAAATAGACCTTAGGATAATAGTTCCCTGGAAATCAAACACTAGTCTCAAAGAACTAAGAGATCAATGCCTTCAAACAGACTAAAGATTAATTTAATCACAATTTCTCATTTTGTCCGGAAAAATTTGAACAGTGTGTTTGCTCCCTTTCTCCATTTTACTGTATTGTTGTTCCTCACAGGCTTTGTTTTAAGAGATGATGATTGGCTTCGATTTGGTTTTCTGGGATGCAGCTGGTAATCTTTGCTATATATAAACTCAAGCCAGGAGACCCCTGCAGGCAACCGATGGTAGCTAAGTACCTTACGGAATACAGGACGTGAGAGAGTGAGGGTCATAAACTCTTTGGAAGGAGAGGAAGAGGATGAGATGGAAAAGGAAGAGGAGGAAGAAGATGAAGAAGAGGAGTCAGAAGAGGCAGAGGCAACAGAGGAGGAGGAGGAGGTGGTGGAGGAGGAGGAAGTGGAGGAGGAGGTGGATGGGAGCAGGGATTGTGGCTGAGAATTATTTTTTTTAACATAAAACAGCCAGTCAATAGCCTGGGGCTGTTGGCCTATAACTTTGTTTTCGGGGGCTACCGCCCACCATATTTGCTTCATATTAAGTCCCTGGATATCCCGTTCAGATGTGGGGAAAAACTGCTGTATCTTCTCTACTCCTTCAAGGTTGTCTTCAGGGACTTCATTAGGCTGGTTTTCTTTCATAGGGAATGGGAGACAAGATGAGAAAGTCTCTGGTAGAGAAAGGATAAGAACTAATTTCACTTCTATTTTGCCCTCAGAATTGGCCTCAGGTGTTGGTATGACAGAAAGTGTTGCACAATGAGGATTTTTCTTTCCTCTAAGATGGTTACATGGAGATTTTAGGCAGGAAGCACAAGCTAAGCAAACCACATAATTTGATGACAAGCGAGGACCAGGATGAGGATTTGGCCTTCCCCTCATCCTTCTAAACAAAATCTGCCTACAGAGATCCCTCTGTATTCTGGTATTTGAGATAGAATTGACAATTTTATTTACCACATCATCAGGGACAGTTCCACCTTTAACAATGCAGGGCTGACTATACTTTAAAGTCCAAGGAATTTCTTTATTTGATTCTGTCTTTGGAGAAAACTGAAAGCTGCTTTTACTCTGGAGTCTGAAACCTAATGTTGAAGCAGCTGTGTTCCTGGTGCAGTGTTTGGAGCTTGATAATAATTGACCTGAGATGTTTGTTTTTGGATGGGGTGATGGTAGATGTGTGACTCTGTGTTTGCCATTTGGTGAAGTGGTATTCTGAAACTTGGAGTGACAGACAGGTGAATTCGTGGTCTGGAAGTTACAATCAAGCATAAACATTGACTGAGAATTGAGCTGAAACAATGGTAAATTCTCAGATGGGTGGACAAAATATGATGATGCTGATTGCCTTGCTTTTGAATGGGACACTGGTAAGCCTCCAATAGTGGGGTTAGAGTTCAATATAGGTGTTTTCTGAAGCCTAGAGTCAAGTAATGGAGAGGTAAGAGCAATTTGATTGGGTTTGAAAGAAGGTGATGTCCAAAATAAGTCACTTGTTTGAAGTTTTGTGTTGAGTGATGGTGAACTCAAAGATCTTTGATTGCGCTGCAATGAAGATGTCCAAAGGTAGTCCAATGAGGATGTTTTCTGAGGTTTGGATTGAAGCAATGTCGAGCTAAGGGCTTTTCGTTTGGGTCCCAAGGAAGATGATGTCCAAATGATGTTTATGGAAGGTATTTCTTGATTTTGGAGGCGAAATAATGATGAACTTGAGACTCTTTGATGAGACTTCAATGAAAGTGATCTCCAGCAAACATCTAGGCTTGAAGATGTTGTTTGAGGTTTACAGAAGGGTAATTGTAAACTCAGGGCTGCTTGATTGAGCTCCAGTGATGATGTCATGTTGAGGTCAGATGAAGACGTTGTTTGAGCTTTGGAGTGCAACAAATGAGAGTTCAGGGCTCTTTGAGCAGGCCACAATGAACTTCTCCAGTGGAGGCCTATTGAAGGTGTGTTCTGATGCTTGGCATGGAACAATGGTGAATTCAGAAACCTATCACAGAAGCTCTGTGAAATTTTGTCCTGAGATTTGGGAGAAGGCAATACTGAGCATCTCTGGACCTTCTTATTGGAGCCCAGTGGAGGTACTGCAAAGTGATTGCTATGGGATTGCACTTTGGCCATAGGTTGGTTATTGAATTGATTTAGTTTTTCACCTGTATGTTGATGTGTTAATGTATTGGCTGAGGACAGTTGGTAGAAGTAGTCTAATGGCACAAAGTGTTGACCATAATATGCTAGTGGCACCATCTTGTGTTGTAGTAGAGGTCTTTTTAAAAGCAGTTGGCTTGTGGGGATGATTTAGTAACTGTTAGTCTTTTAGCGGGAATCCATGGAAAATGGATACTTTTACATAACAGTTGCTAGCTTTTATCTTGCAATATTTCTGTTAATTCTCAAATATTATAGACTATTCCAAAATTGAAGTGTAGATGAGATTGAAAAAGATTGTCACCATTTGAGATTATCTTCAGTATTTTCTTTAGTTTCCTATACTTTTTTCTCCTGAGTAAATAATGCCTGTTAACAAAATAGTAAGGAGAGGTCAGAAGAGGTCCTGATAGAAATATTAATTTTCTTAAGTACTTTCTTGTAGTGACTACAGCACAGGTGTTATGTCAAATTCCAGCCACTACATGTGCTGCAGCCACTCAGTGCATCACTATGCATATCTTTTGAATTATACTTTCAAAACCCCCATTCATCATCTGTAAAATAGACAAATATGATATTTAACTTATTGGGCTAAAGAATAAACAAACGTATATATATTCTAACAGTGCCAAGATATTATAGATGCTCAATAAAATGCAGTAGTTATCACTGGTGCTCTTTTAATTATTGCATTTGTAAAACAAACAAACAAAAATCTGTGATAAGTTTTTGTGTAAAAAAAAACTCAGAGAAAAATAAAAAGAAAACTTCAAATGTTTCTTTTCAGTTCAGATTCAGTTACCCATGACTATCATCTTTTAGTTTACTTCCAAAAGTCTATCGCATATTTTTAGTTCTTATTTGTCACCACTGCAGCATTGAAACTTTTGACTATACCCTTTTAAAGCTCCTATTTCATTATTATCCATTATTTCTCCACACACTGATTCTCTACCCTTATCCTCTTATTTTTTTTCCAAGTCTTCACTGAATTTTTTTCTTTTGCTCTCACCCTAATATAGTTCTAAGAGTTATATTACCAGGTCTCTTCTCTTTTCAGTTTATTCCTAAGTAATCACATCGGTGATGTTCAGGATTTTCTTTCTTTATATATATAGATATATTTATTTATTTATTATTATTATACCTTAAGTTTTAAGGTACATGTGCACAACATGCAGGTTTGTTACATATGTATACATGTGCCATGCTGGTGTGCTGCACCCATTAACTCGTCATTTAGCATTAGGTATATCTCCTAATGCTATCCCTCCCCCCTCCCCCCACACCACAACAGTCCCCGGTGTGTGATGTTCCCCTTCCTGTGTCCATGTGTTCTCATTGTTCAATTCCCACCTATGAGTGAGAACATGTGGTGTTTGGTTTTTTGTCCTTGCAATAGTTTGCTGAGAATGATGTTTTCCAGCTTCATCCATGTCCCTACAAAGGACATGAACTCATCATATATTATTATTATTATTATCATGCATAATATTCCATGGTGTATATGTGCCACATTTTCTTAATCCAGTCTATCATTGTTGGACATTTGGGTTGTTTCCAAGTCTTTGCTATTGTGAATAGTGCTGCAATAAACATACGTGTGCATGTGTCTTTATAGCAGCATGATTTATAATCCTTTGGGTATATACCCAGTAATGGGATGGCTGGGTCAAATGGTATTTCCAGTTCTAGATCCCTGAGGAATCACCACGCCAACTTCCACAATGGTTGAACTAGTTCACAGTCCCACCAACAGTGTAAAAGTGTTTCTATTTCTCCACATCCTCTCCAGCACTTGTTGTTTCCTGACTTTTTAATGATTGCCATTCTAACTGGTGTGAGATGGTATCTCATTGTGGTTTTGATTTGCATTTCTCTGATGGCCAGTGATGATGAGCATTTTTTCATGTGTTTTTTGGCTGCATAAATGTCTTCTTTTGAGAAGTGTCTGTTATTACAACCCCATCAAAAAGTGGGCGATGTTTACGATTTTTAAATGAACTATAGAAGCTTCCTAAAAAGACAGAACCTTGTAGCTGGCCTAAAGTGATACAAGCATCTATCACTCAACAAAGCGACCTATGCTACTTCTTAAAGGCAATTCATAGGGTGTCATACCACACAATTTTATTTTTCAGGGTCCAAGGTTGGCTCTTCAGATTTTAAATAAAGATACATGATACAAAAAAAAAAAAAACTAAAGTGATCACAACAGATTCTGAAATCAGTCAATTAAGTCGTTGGCCTGAGGCCCTGGAAGAATGAGAAGTTCCATGACTCTTTCTGTGTTTCCATGACTTACCAACCCAAATTCTGATGGACAAATTTATTTCTTATACATGCCAACTTACCCAATTAATTTACTATCAACTCTATCATTGCTAGAAATTTCTCTTTATGTCAAGGTGACTTTTCCCATAGTAACTTTTTCTTTGCATTTATTTTTAAAGTATATCTTATTAGTACCATAATTCACTTGTTTTTCAAGCCTTACATCATTCTTTTTGGAATTTTCCAAGTACCAACAATATTAGTTACATATCATTAACTTCTTAATTTTTTTGCTTCTAGTCCTGGCTTATCTCTTGAGGTTCCAAATAGTATTTCCAAATAATCAAGCTTCGTTATCCAAAAGTTCCAAAGACAATTCAAACACAAAACAATAAAAATTTAATAAAGTTATTTCTCTTTCCAGAGAAGTCTTTTTCTATATCTTCTGTCTCAGTTCCAAGCACTTCTTCATTTAATTTAGATTCTTTGAAATCATCCCTGGCAGCTTCACCCTCCCAAGCCATTTAGACACCAAGACCTGTTGATTTGATCACTTCCATATCTTAATTCACTGTTTTCTGTAGAATGCCACCATTACAGGCACATCTTATCTAGACTGTATAATTATAGTAATTTCTGTATATTTTTCCAACATGACCTCACTCTCTCTCTTTGCCTTCTTTCCTGTGAGACATATAAAAGCAAACTCTTACTGGTGAGACACCACAGCTGCTCACTCACATATTTTCCTTGCTTTGCATATGCCTGTGTGAGTAATAAACACTGAGGTTTCTCATGCTTGTTGGACCTGGGGTGAGGGAAGAAAATGCACATGCTACAATATACTACAGACTATTCTACCAAGCTTCTAGATGGCAAAATGAAATAACTTAATGGATTTGGAGCATGCAAAGATTTCTTAAACAGAGCATACAAAGTAGTAGCCATTAAGAGTTGATAAACTTAAGACCTCCCAATAACCAAAAGACATCATATTAGAAAGAATAAAGGCAAATCACAGAATGTAAAAAAATTTACAATACATATATATATATATATATATATGAAAAAAACTCATCTCCATGATAATCTGGATATTACTAGGTAAAAAAAGGCAATGGAATTAGGATGGGCAAAACATGAACAACCACTTCACAAACAAGGATATCCAAATGGCTAACACATATATGAAAAAAAACCTCGGCTTCATTAAAATCAATGGAGTCCAGCCTGGGCAATGTGGCAAAATCCTGTCTCTACAAAAAAAACAAATTAGCTGGGCGTATTGATTCGCACCTGTAGTCTCAGCTACTCAGAGCCCAGGGAATGGAGGCTGCAGTGAGCCATGACAATGCCACTGCACCCCAGCTTGGGTGACAGAATTAGACACTGTCTCATAAAAATAAAAAATCAATAAAGTGCATATTTAAACAACAGAGAGATATTGCTACACATTATCAGAATGTGACTAACATAAAATTAAAACTAAAAAAAGCAATAATTGGTGAGTATACAGATTAAATAAAATACCAAGAAACTGCTGGTGAAAATGTTAAGTTGATACAACTCCTTTGGAAAATTTCTTAGCTTTACCATTAAATTAGTATTTTTATTTTATTTTATTTTTGAAACAGAGTCTCGCTCTGTCGCCCAGGCTGGAGTGCAGTGGCTTGATCTCGGCTCACTGCAAGCTCCGCCTCCCAGGTTCACGCCATTCTCCTGCTTCAGCCTCACGAGTAGCTGGGACTACAGGCGCCCACCACCACGCCCGGCTAATTTTTTGTATTTTTAGTAGAGACGGGGTTTCACCGTGTTAGCCAGAATGGTCTCGATCTCCTGACCTCATGATCCACCCACCTCGGCCTCCCAAACTGCTGGGATTACAGGCGTGAGCCACTGTACCTGACCTAAATTAGTATTTTTTATACATTTTTAAAAGTTTATATTCCAAACTGTAATCAACTGTCAATCAATAGCAGAATATGTAAATAAATCGTAATATAGTTCTTCAGTAATTACGAAACAACAATGAAAATTAACAGAATATATAGCACGATACAACTACAAAATAATGTTTCTTTGTTTTTTTTTTGAGACGGAGTTTCACTCTTGTTGCCCATGTCGGAGTGCAATGGTGCAATCTTGGCTCACTGCAACCTCTGCCACCTGGGTTCCAGCAATTCTCCTGCCTCAGCCTCCCAAGCAGCTGGGATTACAGGCATGCACCACCACGCCCAGCTAATTTTTTGTATTTAGTAGAGATGGGATTTCGCCCTGTTGGTCAGGTTGGTCTTGAACTCCTGACTTCGGGTGATCTACCCGCCTTGGCCTCCCAAACTGCTGGGACTACAGGTGTGAGCCATGGCGTCCATCCTCAAAATGTTTAATAAAAAGAATCATACACACAAAAAATACTTCCTAATTTTATAGTCAGGATAATAATACACTTGAGGAGGTAGAGAGTTGGAGCTACTGGTAATATTCTGTTTCCTGATCTGGATGAAGATTGCATGGATGAATTCACTTAGTGATAATGGAGCTTTAACACTTACAGTATGTGTATTTTTGTTTGTTCCTTTACTTCAATAAAAAGTATAAAAAATGATGATGATGCTAATTTAAAAAGACACATCCGAAACAAAATTGCACTGAAAGGTGAAACATTAAAGAGTAAACCAAGATCTGGTATTCAGATGTGATGAAAACTTAACGAGAGAGAGTTGGAGAGTGAGGTGGGGGCAGGTAGTGAAGAACGTAATGTTTAAATCCTGCTATCATATAAAGAGGAATAATCAAATTCAAAACAAATAGAACTAACAAGAGCCTATTTGAGATAGAAACCAGAGAAAAATAGCATTTCTGAATGTGTCCCAGTTTCAGACTTGGCAAAATGACACTTCCATTTCAAAGAAAGTATTTTGCTAGAAGCATGTAAATATTACATACAGATAACTAAAAAATGGGAGAAAATTCAATGAGGCTATAAATATGGGAGAAAAAAAATACCACCATGAAAGAATTAACTGAAATAGTCCAAATTATTTTTATAATTGAGTTCCTTCAAACTTTGAATAAACAGATATTTATAATGTTATATGAACATTTTCAGAGTACCATAAATATAGAAAAATTATCCGTTTGTTCTATGAAACTGCTGTATGTCATTCAGACATTAAAACATGATAAAAATAGTTCAAAGTTTAAAAGGAATAGAGCAATTCACTTAGTTCATTCGCAGAAATTCCCAAATAAAATAAAACACTAAATTTAACAGTATAATAAAATAGTCTATTGTGACCCAAGTTGATCTTAAAAAAAACAATGATGTTATATTATTAGGAAGCACTATACTTTGTCATTTTCATAATTCACAAATAAATCTTAATAGATGTTTTAAACACTCATTTGATAACATCCAACTTCCATTTCTCATAAAACTCTGTAAACTACTAAGAAAAACTAGTTACTTAATGATAACAAACATATGAAAGCAAAAACAAACTATTCACATGGTAGTTAAATGTGAGCTAGTCCCACTACAAGTTGATAAAAGATTAGCATATTTACTATCACTACTGCATTTAACATTGTTTAGGAAAATCTGGCCAATGTATTAAAGAAGAAAACAAAACAAAACAAGAATAAAAAATGAGACATAACCTTTGAAAAGGCAGAAATTAAATTCCCTCTACATGCATATTATATTATTAAAACCCTAATTTAGAATATAGAAAACTTAATAGAATCAATAATATATTAAAATTCAGGAAATGAAGTCATTGCTTACTGAGTAAATACGTATGGGTCACAAATTTTCTTCAATACCGATATTTAACAGGATTTATGATAATCATGGATACTTCATATATAATTATCTCTAAAAATTCAATAAAAACACAGGTATCCTATTGCAAATATGAGAGGGTGCTTGAAAGTTTTGAGGAGAAGAGATAAATGCCTAGCAATCCAGGAAAGGTCACAGTTTTCTATGTCTAGTTCTTTTGTATTTTTTACTTCCCTGTTAATGCACAGATGCTCCTTGCTACTTCATCCTACTTCCTTTTTCAAGACATATTCCTAATAAATAGAAAACTTATCATTGGAAATTGCAATAACTCTTTTTCATTAATAAATAGGAATAAGCAGGAAATCAGTAAGGGTATACAAAATTTCAAAAATGCCATCAACTAACTTGAGCTAACTGATATTCATAGAATATTCAACTCCAAATTGTTCTTTTAAGTGGACATGGAATATTCACAGCAATATTGTAAACCATACAACAAGTGTCAATAAATTTAAGTGAGTTCAAATAATGCGCAGTATGGTCTCAGATTTAGCAATGACATTAAATAATAAATTAATACCAGAAATATCTGTGAATACTTTTCATATTTATACTACATATACATTTTATACGGTGTATCAAGAATGTGTGGGATGTTCCTGAAGCTGAACATAGGAAGGGGAGCTATCTGTAACAATAAATGACAGTATCAAAAAGGCAGGAAGTTCTCAAATTAATGACATTAGCTTCCTCCTTAAGAAATAAAAAAAAAGAAGAGCACATTAAACTAAAATTAAGTAGAAGAAAGAAAACAGTAGAGATTAAAGGAGAAGCCAATGAGATGGAAACTAGATAATCAAGTATATTGATAGGTGGTTCTTTCAGAAAATAAATAAAATTGAAAACATTTGGCCATACAGATAAAGAATTAAAAACAAAGAGGGCTGGGCATGGTGTCTTACGCCTGTAGTCTCAACATTTTGGAAGGCCAAGGCAAGAGGATCACTTGAGATAAGGAGTTCGAGACCAGCCTGGCCAACATGGCAAAACCCCATCTCTACTAAAAACACAAAAATTAGCCAGGCGTGGTGGCGCATGCCTGTAATCCCAGCTACTCAGATGCCTGAGGCAGGAGAATTGCTTGAACTCGAGAGGCAGAGGAGGCAGTGAGCCAAGATCAAGCCACTGCACTCAAGCCTGGGTGACAGAGCAAGACTCCGTCTCAAAAAAAAAAAAAAAAAAAAAAAAAAACCACAATTACAAATATCAGGATTAAGAGAGGTGATGTTACTGCAGACACTACACACTACTGATATTAAAAAGGATAACCAAAAAAACCTGAAGAATATTATGCCAATAAATGAGACAACTCATATGAAAGAGAGATATTTCTTGAAAGACACAAATTTCCAAAGCTCACTCAAGAACAAATAGAAAACCTAAATTCCCCTATCTCTAGTAAATAAGTTGAATTTGAGTTTAAAGGCTTCCCATAGAAGAAATTTCAGAGTCTGATGACTTCGTTGATGACCCTATCAAGTCTTTAAGAAAGAAATAATGCCAATTCTACACAAACTATTTCATAAAATTAAAATGGAGGATTTATTTTCAACTCAAGCTATGTTAAAAACTACTAGATTTTATTTTATTTTATTTTATTTTATTTTATTTTATTTTATTTTATTTTATTTTATTTTGAGACTGAGTCTCACTCTTTCACCCAGGCTAGAGTGCAATAGCACGATCTCGGCTCACTGCAACCTCTGCCTCCCAGTTCAAGCGATTCTCCTGCCTCAGCCTCCTGAGTAGCTGGGATCACAGGAGACTGCCACCATGCCCAGCTAATTTTTTATATTTTTAGTAGAGACTGGGTTTCACCATGTTTGCCAGGCTTGTCTCAAATGCCTGACCTCAGGTGATCCATCCACCTCGGCCTCCCAAAGTGCTGGGATTACAGGGGTGAGCCACCATACCCAGTCGATTTTTTAAAAAGCAACTATGCATCAATATTTCTTATAAATATAGATAAAAAAAAAGGTAAGCCAAATTTTAGCCAGTCAAATCCAACAATATGTAAAAGGTAAAATACACTTCCCCCAAATTCATAAACCCAGTCTTTTCATAGGAAAACACCAGACAAGACCAAATTTGACAAAATATTTTAACAGTACTCTTTAAAAGTGTCAAAGTCAGTAAAAATTAAGGAAACAGAATATTCACAGATTGGAGAAATTTAAACCTAATGACTAAATGCAAAATGGTATTCTATATTGAATCCTCGCTCAGTAAAAAGCCCTTCATAGAAAAAGAATGGTAAAATGCTATTAAAGTCTGTTAAGGATATTGTACCCCTGTTATTTATTTTTTTTATAAACATACCCTGGTACGTTAGATGTTTAGATGTTAATATAAGAAAAATCTGGGTGAAGGGTTGGAATGCAAAAAAGTTTGAATATCTATTCAAGAAAACTTTCTTTGTAAAGGAAAAAAGCTGAAAGACCAACAATTACCTGACGTCAAGTCTTATTAAAAAACAGCAATAGCCAAAACAGTCTAGTATTAGCATAAAGGTAGACAAACAAGTAAATGGAACAAAATACACAGTTGGGAAAAAGACACATGTATTAAAACAGCAGATTTTTTGACAAAAGTGTATAAGCAATTCATTGGAGAAAAAATCAGTATTTTCAAATGGTTCTGTAAGAATTGGATGCACATCTGAAAAAAAAAAAAAAGGAAAGGAAGAAGTAAAATTGTCTCTGCAGATAACATAATCATACATAGAAAACCCTAAAGCCCACCCCAAAAACTATTAGAACAAGCAAATTCAGTAAAGTTGTAGGATACAAAATAAACATACAAAAATCAGCTGCATTTTTATACATTAACAGCAAACTGTCCAAAAAAAGAAATAAAGAAAAACAATAGCATTTACAATAGCATGAAACAGAATAAAATACTTACAAAAAAAATTAACCAAGGAGATGAAAGTTCTACTCACTGAAAAGTATAAAACAACTGATAAAAGAATTGGTGAAAACTCAAATAAGTGGAAAAATATCTCATGTTCATGGATTGAAAGAAGGAATATTGTTAAAATGTTCAAACTACCCAAAAAATCTACAAATCCACTGGAACCCATATCAAAATTCCAATAGCATTGCTTGCAGAAATAGAAAAAGCAATTGCAAAATTCATGGAAACATAAAATATCCTGATAGCTAAAGCAATCTTGAACAGAAGTAATTGGAGTAAGCACACTTCCTGATTTCATACTATATTACAAATCTACAGTAATCAGAACAGTATGGTAGCAGCATAAAATTAGACACATAAGCTAATGGAACAGATTGGAAAGCCCAGAAATAAACCCATACATATGCAGTCAATCAATCTTCAACAAAGGTACTAAGAATATGGGGAAATAATGGACTCTTAAATAAATAATGTTATGAAAACTGGATATCCACACTCAAAAAAAAAATCATTAAATAGGACCCTTCTCTTAGACCTTACACAAAAATCAATTAATTCATAATGGATTAAAGACTTAAATGTACCTGAAACCATAAAACTCCTACAAAAATACATAGAAAAAATCTCCATGATGTTAGTTTTAGTAATGATTTTTTTATATGATGCCAAAGGCACAGATGACAAAAGCAAAACTAAATAAGTAGGACTACAGCAAACTGAAAAATTCTTGCATAACAAAGGAAACAATCAATAAAATGAAAAGGTAGCTCACAGAATAAGAGAAAATATGTGCAAACCATATATCCGATAAATAGTTAATATCCAAAATACATAAGAAACTTACACAACTCAATAGAAAAAAATAGCCAATTGAAAAATAGGCAAAGGACCTGAATAAACGTTTCTCAAAAGAAAATATACATATAGTCAGCAGGTATATGAAAAGATGTTCAACATCACTAATCATCAGGGAAATGAAAATCAAAAACTACAATGAGATAACACCTGTCACCTGTTAGAATGGCTTTTATCAAACAGTCAAAAGATAAATGTTGGCAAGGATGTGGGGAAAAAAGAACCTACTGGTATGTATATAAATTGGTACAGCCATTGTAAAAAATAGTATGGAGATTCCTAAAAAATTTAAGAACAGAAATACCATATGATCAAGCAATTCCACTTCTAGGTATATACCAAAATAAATTAAATTGGCATCTCCAAGAGATTGCAGCATTATGTATAATAGCCAAGATATGAAAACCATTCTGAGTCAGTCAGTAGATGAATGTATAGAGAAAATGTGATGTGTGTGTGTACAAACAATGGAATATTATTCAGCCCTAAAAAAGAAGGAAATCCTTCCATTTGCAACAACATGGATAAGGCCAGAAGACATTACACTAAGTGAAATAAGACAGACTCAGAAAGACAAATATGCATGATCTCACTTATATGTGAAACCTAATAAAAGGTCAAACACACAGTAACAGAGTAGAATGACAGATACAAAGGACTAAGGGATAAGGGAAAATGGGAGATATTGGTCATAGGGTATAAGAGGTTAATAATAATGCACCGTATAGTTGAAATTTGAAAGGAAGTATTTCTGATGTGTTCTCACCACACACACACAAAATAATGGTAACTATGAGTTGATAGATATGCTAATTAGCTTTGTTACTGTAATTACTTCACAATGTATACATATATCAAAATATTACATTGTAAACCCTAAATACATATAACTTTATCAATTATACATCAATAAAACTGGAAAAAAGACACATGTATAAAAAAGAAATGTGATTCATACCTCAAAGTAAATACAAAAATCAATTCATAATAAGATCATGGATCTACTGTAAAACCTAAAACTATATAAGTTCTGGAACAAAAATTTTTTTAAAGTTTGTGATTTGGGGTTGAGCATAGATTTTTAGATGTGAAACCAAAAGCTCAATCAGTAAAAGAACAAACGAATAAATTGAACTTTATCAAAATTTAAAACTTCTTCTCTTCATAAGACACTGTTAAGAAAATGAAAAAAACATAAAAATAGAGTAATATTTGCAAAGCATTATCTAATAAAGACTTGTATCAATCATATATAGAGAAAACTCTCAAAATTCAATAGGAAAGCAAGCAATCAAATAAAAAATTAGCTAAATATTTGAACAGTTCTCCAAAGATGATTTGGAATGGGATGTAAGTACATGAAAATATGTCAATATCATTATTCTTTAGAGGAATCCAAATTAAAATCACATGAGATACCACTAAATAACTTCTTGAATAACTAAAATTTAAAAGGTTGACCAAACTAAGTGTTACAAAGATGTGGAGGAATTGAAACTCTCATACACTGCTGGTGGGAGTATAAAATAGTACTAGAAGTTTGGAAAACACTTTATCCTTTCTTTAAAAGTTAAATATACATGTACCACATAATCTAGCCATTCCACTCCTTTTATTTACCCAAATGAAAGCATATGCTCATATAAAGACTTAAAAAATATGTTCATCGCAGCTTTTTTGAATAGTCAAAAACTGTAATCAATCTACTATCCATCAGTAGACAAATGAATCAACCAATTGTAGTAGTTCCATGTAAGGGAGTATACCTGCCACTAATTTCAGAAATCCCATCTGCAGTCAAGTGTCTGGGAGCAAAATGCTTACAAATCAATAGACATAAAGCTGGTATAAAACAGAGTCCCACCAGTCAAACTCAGCTAATGTTTCAAAGTAAGACTTTCTGAACAGTACAGGGTACAATGAGGCAAATGCTTTGTTTTCTCAATAAACCATCAAAACAAAAATAGGTGGACCTTCCAAGTTCAAAAGAAATCTAAGATATAGTCCTTCAGGGAACCCATACAATAAAAATACAAATAATGTATAGATGTCTTAAATATCAGTGAAGATGCATTTAGTATTTATATATGTTCAATATTCTTGTTGTATGTACAGATTTAATTTTCTAGCAGCTTCTACTTAACTTAATACTCAGAATATGCAATATAAAATTGTTTCTTTTTATTTCAGTCCAGAGCAACCTAGCATTGTTTGTTTTAAACTGTGACCATATCAACCCCTGCCTGCCAAACTCTCAATATCTAAAATACCATTAGGCCTATATTAATTTTTTATAACTCAAGAGATTTCAATTTAGAGATTTTCTTAGATTTAATTCTTAGTGCACTAAGTTCAGAGATTGATCATTCTAAGAGAATAACTCTCTTTTGGGAACCAACTTCATAAGTTTCTCCAGTTCAGTTATACAGAAGGCTTCAGAAGAAACCTCTGATCTGAGGCTTATCTTGTAGCTTGACTTGAGTGCTTGACATAAGTACCCGAAATTTCTGCCTCGTCAAGCTCAGGTATTCAGCTCTCACTTTTATACAAATATAAACCCACAAGAATATCTCTCAGATTTATACTTTAAGACTACCTTCTCCAAACCTTTTATCTGTCATACATGCACAAACATGCAAACTAATTGATATGTATTCCTACACATAAAAGAGCCTCTCACCAAGAGAAGTTTTATGAAAACTAAAACACTGGCTATTTCAATGACTGTTAGAGATAGAAATGTGAGCAAATTTAATGCTAACCAATCTTGTAAGCTATGTGCCTTTTTTATTCCCTGAAAAAAAGTAATCCTGAGAGGGCTATGTTCTAATGCAGACAAAAACAAAAATAAACATAATTCCTAGGCTACTATTTCCAGAACTGAGCTCTACAATTCTCTATTCCAAATAAGGGATTTGAGTAAATTCTGCCATTTTCACCTGTAATTGAGTCGTCGACCAAATGTACAGACATGTTACTGTAGTGAACTTGAAGAAACTCTATCCATGAGCTCTGTAGGAATCCATCCAGAAGCCAAACAGCATCACCTTGCAGCTGTATTCAAAAGATGTCTATATTCTCTATCCTCACCTTGACAAGCTCAGTAACTGTGGGCTTAGCATGTGGAGTGCTGAGTCAGCCTAACTTGGCCACGCTTTGAATATGTTCCACATATTGGATTTGTTTAACAAAACTACAGAATATTATGCTTTGTAAAAATCCATTGATTTTCATGCTTCTGTATAATTTTTTCGCTTTTAATTTCAGGAAAATTTTCTCAGAAATAACTTTAAAATAGGAACCTTCCACAGATAAAGCCTCATACCTGCTCTCTTCCCTTATGACAGGGGCATAGGATGCAGAGGAAGTAAAAAAAAAAAAAATCTAAACCGAGTTCAAAATATGAGAAAGATTGGAGATTAGGAGCAAGGGGTGGAAACCTGACATGGTATGAAACAGGGTAAATTGTTAGCAATTATTCTTTCCTCTCACAGTATCCCACTGTTGTCACCACTTTTTAGAGAATATTCCAGAGCAGTTCATCCAGAAAAGCAATTTGGAGTCAAAAAAGATAGTTTTCTAAAATCTTAAAGGCACAGGACAAGGAAGAATAGGAAACTCAATTCAAAAAATTATTGTAAAGCCAATTATTACAGGTATAAAATTATAAAGATTATTAAGGCATTTGCAGTCCAAACTTAAGGAAGGGAATGAAAGACAAAGAGAAAACTAAACAGACCACAAGAAGCAAAATAAGGAAGAAAGTGTTCTGGAAATTAAGAATAAATATAAATTCAGTAACTGAAGTAGAAAGTGGTAAAAAAAAAAAAGAGAGAGAGATTACAGAGTGTAATATATAAAAAAATTTTAACTCACAGTTGGAAGGAAGAAGAGAAGGAGGAGAGGGAGAAGAACCAATGAAAGGTACAATACAGGAACAACAAAAGAAACAAAGGTGAAAAAAATTTATAAATGTCTAGGGAACATTTTTAAGGAACATTAGGTAGAATCAAATTATAATTATTTCAAGGGCGATGACTGAGGTTATTGAGTTCATTGCTGTCTTACTCAAGAGGACAGTTCATATTTAAAATTTATAATGAACTCACACAACTCAATAGCAGAAAAAAAAAAACCCTGATTTTAAAATAGGCAAAACTCTTAATAGACATTTCTCCAAAGAAGACATAAAAATGGCCAATAGGTATATTAAAAGGCAATCAACATCGTTAATCATCAAGAAAATGCAAATTAAAACCACTATAATTTCACATATAACTGAGATCATGCAATATTTGTCTTTCTTGCCTAGCTTATTTCACTTAGCATAATGTTCTCCAGGTTCACTCTATACTGTCAAATATGACATAATTTCCCCCTTTTTTAGGACTGAATACATCAAAACATCACACTGCACACTATAAATATATACAATTATTTGTCAATTAAAATAAACTTCAATAAATAATAAATATTTTTCAAAAACCTTCTTTGATATAACACCCTTACATTTGTTAAGATGGATATTATCAAAAAGTCAAAAGATTGAACAAATGTTGGCAAAGCTGGGAAATAAAGGAAATTTTTTTGCACTATTGGAAATGTAGATTGACACAGTCAGTATAAAAAACAATACGGAGATTTCTAAAGAAATTAAAAATAGAACTACAATATAACTGAGCAATTCCTCTTCTGGATGTAAACCCAGAGGAAATGAAATCACTATCTCATAAAGATACCTACCTGCTTATGTTCATTGCAGCATTATTTACAATAGCAAAGCTGTGAAAATGACCTACTCATTGATGAAGGGATGAATGGATAAAGAAACTGTACTCCACATGTACCCTAAAACTTAAAGTATAATAATAATTAAAAACAAAAAAAGAAACTGTACTCTATATATACACAACATAATACTAGTCAGTCCTAAAAAGAACCCGATCTTGCTATTTGCCACCACAGGGATGAGCCTGAAGGACATTATGCTGAGTGAAATAACCCAAACACAGAAAGAAAATTATTGTATGATCTCCTTTATATGTAGAATGTTTTTTTAAAAAGGTCAACTACGCAGAGATGGAGAACAAAACAGTGGTTACCAGGAGGAGGCAGAAAGGGTGGAGACCAGAAGAGATAAGTATGTTGGATTAGCAAGTCTACAAATCTAATGTACAACATGAGAATTATAAGTAACGAAACTGTGCTGTATGGAGGATTCATGTTAAATGAGTAGATTTTAGCTGCTCTTGCCAAAAAAAAGTAACTATGTGAGATTATAGTCATGTTAATTTGCTCACTATAGTACCTTTCTTATTATCTATATGTTTCCTATAACATCATGTTGTATACCTTAAATATGCACAATAAAATTTATTATATAAAAAATATTAGGCTGGGTGTGGTGGATCACATCCATAATCCCAGCACTTTGGGAGGCTGAGGCGGGAGGATCACTTGAGGTCAGGAGTTCAAGAACAGCCTGGCCAACATGATGAAACCCTGTCTCTACAAAAATACAAAACAGTTAGCCAGGCGTGGTCATGCGAGCCTGTAGTCCCAGCTACTTGGGAGGCTGAGGCAGGAGAATTGCTTGAACCCAGATGGTGGAGGTTGCAGTGAGCTGAGATCATACCACTGCACTCCAGCCTGGGCAACAGAGCAAGACTCTCTCTCTCTCTCTCTCTATATATATATATATATATATGTGTGTGTGTGTGTGTGTGTGTGTGTGTGTGTGTCTCGATATAAAAAATAACTTTTTTCCAAATATACCTTTTTTTCTCTTCACAATCGTGAAGAGAAAAAAGGTATATTTGGAAAAAAGTTATCATTGAGGAAAGTGTGGAGTGTGGTTGATTTCATTAGAATAGAGACACACTTGGGTAGATTGTTTGATGGAAAAGAACCACACAGGACATGGGGGGTTGCAGGGGAAATAGCATGCACCACAATCCAAATAACAGGAGGATTAGTTGAGCAAACACATGAAGTGGAAGATATGAAAACAAAGCACTGATAAAAATTCAAGCTTTAGAATAAAGAATTTTTTTCATTTTTCCTAAAACCTATGAGAAAGAAAATGGATAGGAAAGAAGATACAGGGACTTTGAAGTGAAAAAGATTTAAGACTGTTGACAACAACTGGTCTTGTAAATTAGCAAACAAGGTTATTTTCTGAGAGAAGGAATGTTAATAATCTGAAAGCATTTATTTTGCACACTTGTCATGTTTAAAATCATGAGCATTCACAGAAAATAACATGCTAACATATATCTTAGTGAATCAAGAAAATGATCTTGTTACTGTATATGTAAATAAAAGGAAAATGTTTGGTTTTGCCCATGCTTTGAAGAATTGAAATGAAAATAATTCAGGAAGTTAAAACAAAATAAGTTCACCAAATAAAAACAAAAATAGTTTATCTTTTTTCTCATACATCATGTATGTTAAAAATAAGGAAAGAAGGGAGGCAGGGAGGGAGAGAAGGGAAGGAGGAAGGAGAGAAGAAGAAAGGGAGAGAGAGGGCAAGCCCCAAAGAATATTCTCTTTTTTAGGACATTTTCAGGAAGTATATAGCTTGTCAATGATTAAACGCTACCTACCAGTCAAAGGAGGAGAAAGACCACTATTGCAAAAACATTTATAAACAGAATTTATATATGTCAAAATCATAAACAGTATCATAACAGTTACACAGCCAGCTCAGTTCTTACTCACCTATGAAGTCATGAATAATACCTTATACATTAGAAACTATTTCATGTCATTTGATTTGCCAGGCAAAACCTCAGACTTGCCACAATGACTCTAAATTTACAGATAGGCTGCAGGTTCGCTGTGAGTAGACTAACACCTCCAAGTGGCAAAAGCTGGAGTTTAGTATGTCTGCGTGTGAAAAGAGTTAGGGAGTGGGAAATCCTTAATAATGCTACACAAAACATTTAGGTCCAAATAGGAGTTGCTCCTTAGCTCCATTCAGGAATTTCAGACTATAGCAATACATATGGCCTATCTGCCATAAACAGAAGGGATTCCCTATATACTTTAAAAGAAACTATGGGACATAGGTTTTCCAGACTTGTCTCTTGATAGAGCAACCACAGGCAAACTAGGATCTAGGGGTTACCTAGGACAAATTATTAATTGGTTTAGATAGAGATAGAGATAAAGGTATAAATACATAGTTACAGATACACAAATACACATAAAGATATAGATACAGACATTGACCAAGACAGACATTGACATAGACATTCTATTGCAAGACTTTCTGCCAATAAAGCCTCTTTGTTCCTCTTTGCATAGGAATCAAACATTTGTCAAGGTGTAGGATCCAGGATCTCAGGATCACAAATACAAAAGAAGTCTCAAATGTTGTAATGCTCAAAAAGACTGCTTCCATCCTATCCAATTAACATTCTTCCTCTTCAAGTCCAATAATCTTCCAATAAATGCCCTCCACCAGGTTCCTTATTGAGACACTGGTAAGTACCGGAAATGCGGAAAACATACAATTGACCCTAGACAATATTTTAGGTATAAAGAAAATTATTTCAAATATAGTTCTTCTATGTTTTTGAAATTAACGCTTTGGAAATCAAATTAGTTATGCACTATTTTAGCCTATCTACTTAATTAAGAAAATACCAAATACCTCTTCTAATAGAGTTGTGTGGTAATATAAATTCTTAAAATAAAACTGTATATTTTTGTTCTATGAAACATAGAAATAGCTAACCACCTGGGGGATTCATAATTTAAGTACTCTGATGATAAGTATTCTGACGATATTCATAGTAGAAGACATAGAAAATAAAGAAAAATATATCATCGAGAAAACAAAAATGACTCAGTTACTGCCTATGTATCATTCTATCGTTACTATGTATCTGCATTTTTATACAAATACAAGATTGTACTACTAAGTTTTTCTTTATTGAATGAAATAATAGATATGTTCAGGTTATTAAATATATCCTTTTCAAATAATATCTTAATCAATGTCCATAGCCCATAATTTTCCCTTATTTAAAAGCAAGACTCTGAAGATTATTATCATAACCAATATTTTTGTACATTTTCCTTTCTTTGGATTAGTTTCTACAGTTAGAATTATTTTTAAAAATTTATATTTTTAAGAGTTTTACACGTTTCTAAATTTCCCTTCAGTAAATTATTAAAACAACCAAATATTCCCATCAGTAATATATGAGTGACATTTAGCTCCCTTGCAAACACTTGCTCTAGAATATTTGTAACATTTATTTCTTTGCTTCCCTCTATCCCATGGCCTCTTGCTTTAATATTCATAACTTGAAAATCAGCTAAATTTTGGCCATTTATGTTTCTCTGCTCTTAACTCCTTGGTCATTTTTATTTACCTATGTTTCAATAGATGTGTTTATCTCTTTGTTAATGAGTGTAAGTACTCATTATATATAATAATTTATAGCTTTAGTCACATATACTACAAGTATTTTCCCTTGGTCATTTACCAAAATAATTCATCATGCCTGAGAAATTGGCTGATTCATCCAATGTGATAATTTTATCAAGATTTATATTTTTAAACAGCTTTTACTTGTGCTGTGTGTGAGAACATATACAGGAGTTCTAATAAAGTTAATAGAGAAATCTACAAGATGCCAGATCCTATGAGTAAATAGAAAACAATGTCTTATAATAATGATTATGTTAATTATAAGGACCATCAACTTTCCAACATAAAAGCATAGTTAAAAAGCTTGAGTCTCTTCTCTGTGTTACTCTCAAATAGCTGAAGTGTATGTGTGCGAATGTGTGTATATCGTCAAATCAAGAATTCATCGCATTCTCACATTCACCATCTCATAAGTGGCGTGACCTTCTCTCTCAACTGACAAGTCCAGAAATGCTTCAAAGAGGAAATGACCAGTGAATTGCTTTGAAGGATCATTTCACCATTAAGTATTAGGGAAAAGTCATCCTATGAAAAACAAAAATGCATGAAAGAAAAGCATTCACTGTGGCAGTAACTAACTCTGGACCCTAAAAAAGGAAGGACAGGTGTTGACTATTGGAAAAATTCAGTTGGAAACAAAGAATGTTCTCCTATACAGTTACAGAAAATGTAGAGCTTACCCTGAGGGTAACTGAAGATCTGGGAAAACAGTCAACTAGAAACTGAGATCAGGTCAGGCACGGTGGCTCATGCCTGTAATCCTAGCACTTTGGGAGGCTGAGGTGGGCAGATCACAAGGTCAGGAGTTCGAGACCAGCCTGGCCAACATGGTGAAACTCAATCTCTACTAAAGACACAAAAAATTAGCTGGGCGTAGTGGCATGCGCCTGTAATCCCAGCTACTCGGGAGGCTGAGGCATGAGGCAGAGGTTGCAGTGAGCCAAGATCGTGCCATTGCACTCCAGCCTGGGTAATAGAGTGGGACAAGAAAGAAAGAAAAAAAAGAAAGAAAGAAAAAAAGAAAGAAAGAAAGAAAGAAAGAAAGAAAGAAAGAAAGAAAGAAAGAAAGAAAGAAAGAAAGAAAGAAAAGAAACAAAGAAAGAAAAGAAAGAAAGGAGAAAGAAAGAAAAAAGAAAGAAAGAGAGAGAGGGAGGGAGGGAGAGAGAGAGAGAGAAAGAAAGAAAGGAAGAAAGAAAGAAAGAGAGAAAGAAGAAAGAAAGAAAGAGAAAGAAAGAAAGAAACCATTAAAATGAACAAGATTGTAAACATCCTAGGTAGAAACCAAGTAGCACAGTGTCTTGCTAATCAGTTTCTTGTGCAGTATGATTGTTTGAGACTGGGAGTTCAAGACCAGGCTAGGCAAGACCCCATCCCTACAAAACAACAAAACCATTTAGCCAGGCATGGCATCGTACACTTGTAATCCCAGTTACTCAGGATGCTGGGACAGGAGGATCAATTGACCCCAGGAGTTCAAGGCTGCAGTGAGCTATCATCACCCCAATGCACTCCAGCCTGGATGACAGAGTGAGACTCTGTCTGTAAAAGAAAAAAATAATAATAAGATATCTTTTCAAAGCCATTAAATCAATCTGCAAATGCATTTGCCCCTTGACATAATAGTTCTAACAAAATGGTTGAAAGAAACTACCTTTTATTTTATTTTATATTTTTTTGATACAGAGTTTCGTTTTGTCGCCTGGGCTAGAGTGCAGTGATTTGATCTTGGCTCACTATGCCTCCCGAGCTCAAGCAATTCTCCTGCCTTCGTCTCCCAAGTAGCTGGGACTACAGGTGCATGTCACCAAGCCTGGCTAATTTTTTTTTTTTTTTTTTTTTTTTTGGTATTTTTACTAGAGACAGGGTTTCACCATGTTGGCCAGGCTGGTCTTGAACTCCTGACCTCAAGTGATTCTCCCGCCTCAGCGTCCCAAAGTGCAGAAACTACATTTTAGAATATTGTAGATTATATTATCTCTGGCTTAAAATTTGCAAATATAACATTTCTTACTCGTTAATGAAGTCACAATTTAACAGCATCTCGGACAATCTAAACATCTTAACTATAGGAAAATGGGAACTATCCATGATAATGAAATAGTGTATCAAATTATCATAAGATCAAACATTTACACAAAGTAACTTTCTTCCAGGAAATGGTCACTAGGTTTAAAACAGCAGTGACAAGAATTTAAGTAAAATGTGATACACAGGTCTCTAGAAAGCAGCTGTGCAAACAAAGGGAAGAACCTTATAGAAAACCATGACATATTAAGGGAACTGTTGATTACACTGCATGTCCAATTCAAGATATTTTGCTTATATAAAATCAAGAACGTAGCCTCCAATGGATAATTTGGTAGGTTACACATTGCCTTCATATTGTTTGATTCATGTTTTCCACTTAGCAGAACACCCCTAGCCGTCTGAAATGAAAATGATTAGATTTCAGTAATGCAGATTTTCTTCCAAATGCATTAAACTAGTTAACACATATACATAACATTTCTGGATCACAGTGTATTTGATAATAGCCAAATGCCAATTATTTTAGGATAAGAATGAAATAAAATACCTTAAAATATCATCTTTGGCAAATAACTAGCAATATTAAACTTCTAAATGCAGGATATTAGTTTTCTTGTTATGACAACAAACCAAAATATTGTCACAATGACAGGAAACATTTCAGTTTTCTGCAATTTGCTGAGTATAAGCATTACATAACCTTTCCCTTATTAGAAAATAAGCTTTAGAACTTTTTGACATAAACTCCTGTTAATATCTTCATCTAAATTTTCGCTAGGTTAGGTCATCTTTTAAGAGGTCTTCAATTTTAAAGATAAATGTAATTTTTGTACCCTTTATTTTATAATTTAAAAGTTTTTTGTTTAAGCTCCAGTGTTGTTCTTTGTAGAATATTTCTTTAAGTCATCCCAAGAAAAAGCAAACTAATTATGAACAGAGGTACATTAACTTTTGGTTATCTTTTTTACCTATTCAGTATTTTCTGTTTTAAAATGTACAATTGAAAAATCTTTCTATAAAAGACAGCCATGCAATATTTTCTTTTAAAAATATTATCTGTGACTATAAAGAATTTTGCCATATGTTGTTTCTAAAAATTATATTGATAATAAAAAGAAAAAAATTTAAATCTACTTAGATCTTTGTATCACAAATATCTCAAATCAGGATGATTCCATTACACTTTTATTTTTTTTTTTATTACTCTAATTTCCAAATGCTTTTACTCAGAGAAAACTGGTGAGTAGCAAAGGAAATAATATCAAAATAATAATGATAAAGACATGCATTTATTCAGTCCTTGCTATGTGCATTAATTCCTCTGCTATTCTGCAACAACCGTTTTCAGTAGATATTAACATTAATGACATCTTTGTGAAGAGCAATGAGCTGGCCCTGCAGTCTACACCCACTGAGCGTGTCTTCATGGTTTCTCTCTTCAAAGGTGGATAAGAAGAGTCCTTTTTGGACTTTCCCTCTGGACATAAAAGGCCATCTAATTTCTGTTTCTCTATCTTTAAAGAATAAATAACCTTCAGAACCACCATCTCCTCTCCTCGGCTCTCTCCTGACTATTGCTGGCATCTGTTTTCAGTCATCCTCTACATACCTTCCAAGACTTTTCTCTTCATCTGCCTGACCTTTTCTCTTTGACCCAGATCTCTGCACCTCTTTTCTCAATTTGCACTCCTTTTTCCTAATTCCTACTCCTAAACCTTTCTTCTTTTTCATATCAAGCTCATCGTTTTTGTTTTCTCACTTCTAATACTATCAAAAATTGCTGTCAACAATTTTAAGTACTTGAGGTAAAATCCAGATGTTTATAATGAGCAGCAGTGCCAAACACAAGACAGTTAATATAAACAATATGTTTACAAACTTCCTTGTACTGGCTAGAATATTCTTAACTCATATAACTAGACTGAGTACTGAATGTGCATAAGAAAGAAGAAAGCATTAAAATCATTAAATTTGAAAGCTCATACATCTGTGTTATTTTCATAACTTTTTCAGACTGGGGTACCTAAGGTAGGGAATTTGGATTTTAGCATTATTCTTTAAAAGCAAACATACATTTTTATTTCAATTTTAACACTGTCTAAGCACTAATTATTAAAGCAATTAGACTTAAATGTAAAGTTTATATTGTAAAAAATTACAATGAAAACATTTCAATTTTAACTTAATTAATTATAATAAATAATTTTTTATTATAGCCCGTCTTCTTTATATTAAGGGACATAACAAAATTCTATAAGAACTCATTATGATCAGGAAAGGCACTGTAAAACAGGGATGCAAGAATTGTCATATTCTGATTTTTTTTTTAATCTAGATTAGCTAGACCAAAATTACAAGCTCAACTCTGTTGTTTTCTAGCTCTATGATCTTGGGAAGATGATTTAACTTCTGTAAGCCTCAGTTTCCTTATCTGTAAAATAAGGACAACAATAGTATGTGTCTCAAGTTTGCTCTGAGAAATAATTGTAAAAATGTAAATAAAGTGTTTGGTATAATGTTCAATAATGCATACATGATCAGTAAATTATTATTCTTATTATTATAAAACAACTACCACTGTCTCATATAGTACCAACTCTAGTTATGTGGATTCCTCTCTCATAACTCTATTCAGTCTATTTTTGTTTGTATCTTCTTGTCTATGAGAACCTATATTGGCATCCCTTAGTTATGTAATTGTGAGGAGAAAAAAAATATTGACATGTATTTGAGTATTTGATAAAAAATTCAAGCTAGGCGCAGTGGTTTGTGCTCGTGATCCCAGCTCACAAGGAAATTGAGGCAGGAGCATCACTTGAGGCCAGGAGTTGGAGACCAGCCTGAACAACCTAGTGAGACCCTGTCACTAAAAAGAAAAAATTTTAAAAAAATTCATAGGCCAAATAGAAATTAATGGTACCTAATTAGTGTTTGTGTGCATGTGTGTCTTATATATTGAAATTATATACACACACAAATTCTAATCCAGAATGACAAACGTACATGAGATAAATGGATTTTGGCCTTCTAAATCTGGTATCTCCTTTAATGTAAAGCTATTCATTTTTTAAAGTTTCTCAAAAACTATAAAATTTTTTTAAAACCTCCCAAATTACTTTTTTAAAGTTTGTCTAAACTTCGCTTCTGTTTTTAAGTAAGACAGTCCTTTTTCACCAGATCTCTATCATATTTTATAAAAATGGTAACAAGAAGAAAATCTCTAGCTGGAGAAAATGTCTGTAAAACACAGACACTCATATTTCATTGTGATTAGTTTCTTAAAGAATGCATTTGGATAAAAATATAAGGTGCATGTATAAACAATCAGTTTAAAATGAATAAAAAAGGAAGACTTTACATCTAAATCACAACTATTATATCTAGAAATGGCATGATAATTTCACCCTAAGTCTAACACAATTCTACCTAACTACACAAGGAAAAAAATGTATTCTCTAAGATTACCTTCTAACTTATATCACATTTTCAAAATGCATAAGAATGTTCAATAAAATACCAAGCTATTGTAACTGAAGACTCTGATAAGAAAACAACTCTACATTTAAGTATTTAACGCAACATATAATCAATCATGGAAATGTACTGTATAACTTTTTTATTGCCTTTTTTTCTTGGTACAACAGCTGAAGGAAGGCATAACCTCAAAATCAGTTAATGTAGGAAACTAAGAAATATATTCAATTTAATCCCTATGTTTCTTTATTTTTCTTCCCACAGTAATAAAACTTTCCTCTCTGAAGAAGCTATATTATTTGAGTAGAAATATGGAGTAGGCAAGTTTCAGACACACTTGTCTTCCAGACCCAGACCCTGAATAACAACAAACTTTAATCATTTTCTTGGCAACAGTTAAAAAACAAGCAAATATACCTTAGAAAGGAAAAACAGGTTTATACCTTTCTGATGTTAAGTGATTAGTTAATAGGAGTTACTTTTGCTAATATAGAGTACTATTCCTTCCCTAAAGGACTCATAAACTTCTCCAGGCAACACCTAGTTAAATTAGCCACTTATTAAATTCTACTATCCTTTTAATTCACCTCTGAACTCTTTGAACAGGTTATTAAATGAGGCAGCCAAAGTTTCCTTTTGCACCTGCAAATAACAATTGAATCTACAATTAAGGATCATTTCCTCTTTTTTGAAATTCTAATAATGGCATTAAAACAGAGTGTAATATTTTTATCTGCATCTGGTCAGCCTATTTCCTGGCATTTGTGATGAGGTAACCGGATGAATGTATTAAAATGCTACAGAAAGATGTTGAGATAATCTCTAGATGACTTCTGAAATTCAGGCAACTTCTAGACACTGGAGTATACAAGGATGTAAACAGACCACACACCTCAAAAGTCACTTTAAGGGGGAAAAAAAAGCTTTAATTTCTACATGAAAACAGAAACAATTCCAACGTTTAATTTGGATGAAACACATTTAAGAAAATATTATTTCTAGTACTCTTAAAGTTGATTATCCAAAAAGTACTTTTTTCTTTTCCAAAAAGTTTTAAAACATTTAAGACAATTTACCTTTCCCAAAACAGTCACATATCCTTTTCCCATATCCACTTTCCTATATATATTCTTTGGAGCAGTTCCCATTTTTTATCTGCCAGAGTTCTAGACACTTCCAAAGCCTTTCCCACACAACTCCTCTTTGAAGCCTGAAGATTATATTCAATATATGTATTAATCTATAATAAGCTATTGTATGTTACCAATTACTCAATTTGTATTGTTACTCAATTCTTTTTAAATTAATCTAAAAAAAACTCAACTCCAAAAAATAGTTCTAAATTTTAGCATTTTCTAGCAAAGTTCTTTGCCACTAACATTCTCTGCATTCGTATCCCTAAACTAAAAAATGCAAAATACATGGAAAAATATTTATAAGAAAATTTTACAAATGTTCAATATCATTGTATATTTCATAGCACAAACTATTTAACTTATTTTACAAATTTTAGAGCCAGAAGAAATCACAAATATTTAGTTTAAACTTGCCATCTGTGGATGGGGAAACTGAGTCCCCAAATAATGAAGCATCTTGCCTAACATTACACTGTCAGTTAATGGAATGAAGTTCTACCAGGATTGTCCTGGTTTAATTATAGTGAGCCTGTTCTCTCTCAAAACTATCTCAGTTTGGAAAATAAAGCATTAGCTCACCCTAGTTAATGTGACTACTCATGTGTAAACCGGAGGTCAGCTTCCAGTTTAGAACTTTTTCTCCTCGTCTCCTCAAAACAAAATTTTTTAAAGTACTGAATCCTAATCCCTATGCAATTATTGGTAGAGATAACTCTTCGATGATTTTTTTTTTTTTTTTTGAGACAGAGTCTCACTCTGTCGCTAGGCTGGAGTGCTGTGGCATGATCTCGGCTCACTGCAACCTCCGACTCCCTGGTTCAAGCAATTCTCCTGCCTCAGCCTCCTGAGTAGCTGGGATTACAGGTGCGCACCACCATGCTCAGATAATTTTTGTATTTTTAGTAGAGACAGGGTTTCACCATTTTGGCCAGGATGGTCTCCATCTCCTGACCTCATGATCTGCCTGCCTCAGCCTCCCAAAGTGCCAAGATTACAGGCATGAGCCACCACGCCTGGCCAACTCTTCCATGATCTTTAAAAGTAACTAAACTGAAACCAAACCAATCCATAAAAAAACCTAAAAAGGTTTACAGAGGAATACATATTATACATTTTTTGTTGTTTTATTAGACTGTAAATTTATCTACAAGGGAGATCAAAATAAGTTCTATAGGAAAGGAAGCACCACAGAAACACATGGGGGATAATTTTGAGGCATTTATATTCAACTTATTAACAAGGCATCACATTATTCAAATGAAAGATGTGCAGTAATACTGGTAACAAGGCAGTGGCTGGAAAGTCAATGAAAAGTGAGGCATTTAAGTTTTGGAAATTGAGGAAATTTGAAAGGTAGAGGGTGGAGACAGATTAGAAAAGATTTCATGGAAAAGATGTCATATCTCGGAGAGGACTTTGAGGACAGGCATGATTTCGGGAACCACAATGCTAGAGACGCAATCAGGCTAGAGAAAAAGGCCTAAGCATGCTCAGGGAATGCAAAGTAGGTGAGACAGGCTGAAGACAATTTGATGGCTTTGGGAGCGGTGATACATGAGTTTGAAGACAACATGGAGATGTAGGGGCAGAAAAAAATGTGGTATCTTTCCCCACCCATCATAAGGTTCACGACCAACACTCTTAATAATTAAAGACAACTCAACAAGGGAAAAACACAACATATTTATTTAATCAGAGTCTTACGTGACACAGGATCCTTCAGAATGAAGACTGAAGGGAACACTGTCTAGTTTTACACTTAGATTTGGTAAAGAGTGAACAGTGTGTGGAAATGTGATTGGACACAAAGGGAATGCTCTAACAGTTACAGAATTAGTGGAGAAGCCTGGTGAGGCCTGTCTGGATTCTTGGCTTCTCTGTGCGGTCTTCCTTCATCGTAGGTATAAGGCAGAACCCCTTCTGGAATGAGGGTCTTATGATCTACTTTCACACAAGGTAGGTCAGAAAATTTTTTTAGGGGAAGCACTTACACAGAAAGGTGGGGTTAGAGTTATATCCCTAGCTTTTATGGCTGGCTCTATGCCATAAAATGTGACCCACCTCAGGGAAGAGGAATCCTAGTTTCTAAGGCCTAGCTTGGGGGAGAAAGGTAAACAGGAGAAAGAAGGGTCAGAAAAGAGGCTTTGCTTCTAAGGCCCTTCCAGCGTCCTACAGTTCAAAGTTCTCAGCATACCAAACCACCATACTTTAAAGTATTATCTTTTGAGCCCCAACAAATAGGAATATGAATGCATGGATGATTATTTTATGTAATCCAGTAGCCAGTAGGAAACTAGTAAACATTTCAGAGAAGTTGACAATAAGTAAATTATTGTGATAATCTGATAGAAATCTGTAAATTTACAGTATGATTTTAGAAAGTTGTTGCAAATCTTTAGCTGTAAAGAGTAGAATCAATAAGAACACGAATTTGCAAATTAATAAGATTTGAGGTTGAAATACAGTCTCTGCCCTTTGTTGAGTGTTTTGAATAATTTTTTCAGCCTTTGTAGATTCCTTTCCAGATTTCTACTTCGTAATCTAGGATAATAGAGAGTTCAGTATTGTTATGAGGATAAATAAAAATTAACACATTTAACTCTGTAAATATTAAATGTTATTGAAATTGGTAATAATAAATGAATAATGATGGTGGGAGTAGGAATGGAAAAGCAGAGATAAAATTGTGAGAAACACTACAGAGATAGTCTATCCAACTAGGACTCCTGAATAAAACACCTGTTTTTAACACTGGGCTGAGCTAGATGAACAATCAGTCCTTAATGACAGTAATTAAATTTCATTTGCTTTTATGCCAAGATTTTTTTAATTAGTATTTCTCATTTTAGGAAATGATTATGACTTGCAAAAAAAGTTGCTAATTTGTAATTTTTTACAAATATATAGCAGGCATACAACAGGAGATCAGATTAAAAGTGTTTAAGAATAGTTTTACAATAATATGACTGAAGAGTCTCTTCTTGGTCTATAATCATAATAAAGGTATTGCACCATATTCTACTTACTGCTCAACTTCAGTCAAACTTAAAATACAGTCACTTTCATTTAATTGAGGGCAGTATGCCATGAATTCTGAAACATCTGCCACAAATTGAGCAGGACCATTAATGGGATTTGAATTTGGTCTAACTCTGTTAATGGCCCTCCAGTAAGATAAATTCTTAGGTACCTTCAATGTAGGTTGAGACTGTGGAAGAGGTAAACAGATAGCTGGCTGCAGACACTAGCATCATTAGTATTATGTTAGTCAGACACTACTGTAAAAATGAAAATGTACATAAGTGTGAAAAACTACACTGGCATTGACTTGAAATTTTGACAGAGCAGTTATGGCTTGATAATGAAAAGACAACAATTTTTTTCTGTAATTAATAGTACATTTATTGATTTAAGCAGTAGATTTCAGAAAACACCTATAGGAATTTCAAGCATACTGGACTTTATTTTAATGTAGAATAAATTTTTCCTAGTCATGAACACTAAGAATTTTGACTAGAAGACAATGTTGCTCACATTTTCCTATTAAAAATTCAGTAAACACACATATATACAATTATAAACAGGTTTGCCCCCAAATTTTAAATACTGGCCATTTTAGGAAGCTGATCAAGATTTTCAGTTTAGCAACAGTATGAATATCATCAATTCGAGTTTGTTTGTGTTCTTGTGGTTGCAATGCAATAGGTAACTATCCAGCAAACTCAATGCCAACCAAAATTTTATATACTATCAGGATCATATGAAGATCTTCCTCCTTCCTGAATAATCAGATAGCATTTGCTAGAGCTATAGCTCATCAGCTTCAAACAGTCCAGTGCTGCTTTAATTATTTTAATTATGAACTTATGTAGTATTTCTTTCCTTTTAAAAGTCTGTACACTTTTGTATTTTAATTAAATTTAGATTTTGTTTGAATTTCATGAAAAGATTATGTTTAATGAAAAAGACATCCTGTTAGCATGATATAACTCAACCATCAGTTTGACTAAGGAATATGGCCAGAAGTGCCTTATAGGATCAAAAGACATTTCTTACAAAAAAAATTAATTTATATTTCCTTTCAATACCTATCAGCTTTTCTGAATCCTGAAATTATGTTGGTAGTATGTCAATCAACCTGTTCTATTTTGAAATCTCCCTTAATGACTTTGATTTTAAAATTTCACTTAATTCAGCATTACAGTGCAAAAAAATTGATTAACCTTTCATTCTTTCAAATATGTTACCACTTAAAATTCACAAAATATTTGATACTTGGTAATGCATATTATATGAGGTGTTTATAATGTTTAAAATATAATGTATTTCACCTTGTTAATTTGAATAAAGTAATTCAGGTAAAGAACATCATACAGTAAATATGACTGTCTTTTCTTCCTTCTCTTGCATTATGACTGTCCCTTCTCCTTTCTCTTGCATTCTCTTCCCTTCTCTTCTCTGCAATTTGTTTTCTTCCTGTCTTTCTCTTTACCCTTTTCCTGAAATATATATAATGCACACATAATGTGCATTATATATATAATGCACACATAATGTGCATTATATATATAATGCACACATAATGTGCATTATATATATAA
Organism: Homo sapiens; assembly: GCF_000001405.40. Lineage (NCBI taxonomy): Eukaryota > Metazoa > Chordata > Mammalia > Primates > Hominidae > Homo > Homo sapiens. The sequence continues at coordinate 88,435,879 of NC_000003.12, read as the reverse complement.
TGCACATTAAAATTTATCTCAAAACATCTTTCATTAATCATAAGTTTAAAAATATTCTGCTGATTCAGATCTATAATCTTTAAGAGACAGATCTTCTTATTTAGCTAAGAGAAAACTCATACTAAGTTACTACAAATCCTCACCATGTAACAATGATTCTGTTTGACTTTAAGCTGTGTTCATGTTGTACTCTACGTGCCATTAGAATGTTCAGTTAGTATATTTTTAAAGGCCGCAAGTAATAGAAAAGAGGAAATATTTCATATAGCTTTCAATCCAGGAAGATGGTTTAAGTGAAGGTAACCTCTGAATTCCCTTCTCCATAAACCTCGGTATTGGCTCTGCCTCTCTCTTCACCTTGGCTTCAACCTCAGTTTGGTTGATAGATAACTATAGAAGTTCTTAGAAGATCATATAGACACACATGGAAACTTTCAGAGACGGCCAAGAGACCATTTTCTTCTTGTGCCTCTTTCTTAAGAATAATTAAATTTTTCTCAGAAGCCCACCAGTGAACTTCTTCTCATATTTTCCTGGCCATAATCAGTTCACTTGCCCATTCCTAAATGAATTTCTGTGAAGAGTGCTGAGATGATGAAAACAGAAGTAAATATTCAACTTCCAACCCAGGGAGTGGAGGACAAAATAGGTATCCCCAGAGGCACCTGGGAAGGTGGGGAAGAATGGATACTTCAACAATATGGGGAATATTTCACAATTTACATTTAGAAAGTAGGAAATGGGATGGAATGGTATTTGCAGGCAAACAACAGAACCTGCTTGGTATTTTGCTTTCTCATGGGAACTCTCCTGCCCATCACCCTTCAAAGACCCTAGATTTGTCCTCCTAGGCCACATCTGACATGGGACTAAGGAGCTCTAAGAGCCTTTGCGGGGGCAGGGGAGAGTGAAGCTTGGTGATAAATTCTGATAAAATTTGCCTTAGGTATTGAACTTTTTAGATTATCATCACTCAGCCTTGGGATCTCTTTTTGACAATACAGCAATCCATCAGTACCTTTATCAGTCTTTTGGTCTTCCCCTAATTCCAAGAGCTAGTATGGATGATCAAAGTAATTATCATAGTTTTGAATCTTTAAATGTCCATGCCCCACCATACAGGTACTTCTGTGAGTGGCTTCATTTTCTGACTGTCCTGACTCTACCTTGAAATAACTGTTAAAGTAGCATTGGGTGGGGAAACTATAAATGCAACCTGCTTTGCATTACAACTGGTTTTCATAGCAACCCTGATTTTTGTTTTGGTTTGGTTTGGATTTTTTCTGGGAAGAGAATGATTAAGAGAAGATGCTTGGTCGAGGCCTAGGAATTTAGGGTTGTTTGTTTTTGGTTTTGGTTTTGTTTTCTAGCTAAGTTTCCTATTTTTCTGACTTTGCCTATCCTAACTTTAGCTTGGAATTCAACTTTCTCCATTTTGGCAGACTGGTGGACACAAAGTTAGCTCAGATGTAGACAATAGGTAGAGAGATCCTCTCTCAGGAAGACAAATATTTTATTTTTTTTTTCTGCATTTGGATGGACCACCTCACTTAATCTCTTTACCAGACCTACAAAGACTGAAAAATACTAATACACCATAATACCCTACTTTTTCTTTCTGCTCCAGTATTGTTAGACAGGTAGTTTGTATAGCCAAACGCAGCAGGAAACAGTGCACTCGAATACTTCTTGTCACTTTGTGATGGCCATCAACTTCCACATTGCAAACAAAGGATCCTTACTACCCAATCTCCTCCATGCCCCCAAGTCTACATTTTAGGTCTGTTATTTGGAACATCTCATTTTTTTATCTAAATTTTGTTCCTGTTGAGATATTTTTGGCTTGAAATAACAAAAAATCTGGGCTCAAAAATGACTCAAAAATAACACATTTTTTAACAGCGTGATATATAGTAAGTTCTAGACAAGAGTAAATGACCAGTCCTGATCACAAACTAAGATTTTGTACTGAACTAATCCATAGGAACTGGAGAGTACCCAGTCCAGTGGAGACAGCAGCAGCAGAAGCAACAATTTCTGTGGGCAGAGGCAACAGCTATAAGTAATCAAGATCAGCATCCAAGCCTAGCAGTGGCAGGTGGTACAGGATGTGTCTGCTCTGTTTTTAGCAACAGAAAGCACAACGTCCCCAAGGGAGAAGTATGTGATATTTTCACTGTGATGCTAGCTGCAGCCACGGCTCTTTTATTCCTGATTCTTTTCCAATTCTAGTTCTGCTGCCTTTTCAGAAATCAATAAATTTATTTCCTGCTCAAATCAATGTATTTTACTTGCTTGCAACCAAGAATAAGACCCTAAAGTTGTGCTATTTAAATTTGACTTTCATATGGAGTTAAATTATAAAAATAGAAAAACTAAACACCTCAAAATTAACTAGATATTGAGACAGAAGGAACTTATGTGTACAAAACATGTAAGAAGTAACAAAAATGGTTACTTAAAAATCAAAACTATCTCAGGTTAAAAATATTGTAAATAATATTTAAAACAACTTAGTAATTGAAATTAAATGTCACCAAAAAATTATCTTTGCTATATATAGGGTGTACAAATCAAAAAGAAAACCATACAACTAAATAACAGAAAAAACAGAACAAAGGCATAAATAGCAATTAAAAGAATGCAATTTTTAAAATACTTATTAAGTCGGGATCAGTAAGTAATAAAATAAAAAAGTGACCACTAAATTTATAAAAGAAAACAGCTATCTTTTATCATTTTAAGTTTAACAAATTTACCTTTTCAAAATAATAGTCAATTCTTATGAAGGTCTACAGGGACCAAATCTTTATAACCTTGGATAATAGTATAATTCAGTATAAAATTTTTAAAATACTGTCTAGCCAATACATACAGCCTGATATTTGTTTGTACTCAGACTCGTTCTGCTTCCAGGTATTAGCACTAATCAAAAATATGAGGAGAAAGATATATGAGCTGTGAACCAGAACTCTTATTCTTAATAGTATTAAAGTTTTAGAAGCAACCTAAATATGTAATGACCAGGGAATCAGTTAATCCAAGCTCATTTACAGGATTTATATTATAATATTATAAAGCAATTAATTATTTTAATATCATTAATATAATACCATATAATAATATAATATCATTTTTAAATTATTGCTAAGATTTCAAGAGTTTCTTTTTATTTTAAATGTTTTTATTCCTAAATTAGTTTGTATGTATTTAGAAAAAAAGTATTCAATTGTTTTTATAGCTATTTTGTTGTATATATTTAAAGTTTGCAGCATGTTTTGATATACTTATCTTCATATATATACACAGTGAAGTGATTACCACAGTTAAGCAAGTTAACAGTTGCTTAACATATAGTTGCCTCTCCTTTTTGTGTTAGTAAGAGTACCTAAAATGTATTCTCTTGGCAAATTACCAGTATACAATACAATATTACTAAAAGTAGTCTTCATGTTGTACATTAGATACTTTATGCCATAGATTTCAGATAGATGATAGATTTCAAATTTTTATTTCTGCTTATATGTATTATATATTTAATAACTATTTTTGAGTAAAATAGATATCAATTGATATATGGAATTAAATAATTACTGAAACTTAGATAACTGTTTATAATTAAAATTGTTTCCTAAAACATTCCTTTCATTAAAACAATTGTGAAAATATTAACTGGTAGGTGTTACTAATATATACTTTTTAATTATTCATTCAGTAAATGAGCATAGTTCAATTTTTCTACAAAAATTACATAGTAAGGAATCTCATAAAAATGAAAAGCCAGCTCAAGTGTCTAAAAAACAAACTACAAGAATAAAATATAGATATTTTAAGGAAACTGAAACAGAAATGTTTTAACACAATCAAAATATCTTATAAAAATAACATATTTTACAGGAAAAAACAACATTATATCATGGGAAAATGGCTTGAGCCTTATCTATTATAAATCCAAAACCATTTCACATAAATTTAGACTATCAATAGGACCTCTTCTTTTTCCTGAGTCATATAACCAATATATAGCTGCTTAATTTTTCTAAAAGTATGCCACATTTTTACTTGCTTCACTTTGGGAATATTTTTTACAACTTTATCTTTTCCAGAAGTTCAAATTAGTTTTCTTTTTTGTTGCTGTTGGCAGAAGACCTGTGCCCACAACTCATCAAGAATTTCTAGATTCTTATCCATGTAATTTATGTAATGGCTTCTAACTTTATTTTAAAACCCCAAACTTAATATTTTTTAATAAATTAGTCTTTTTTAATTTTACTTCCATAGTTTATTGGGGAACAGGTGAAGTTTGGTTACATGAGTAAGTTCCTTAGTGGTGATTTGCGAGATTTTGGTGCACCCATCAGCTGGGTAGTATACACTGTACCCTGTTTGTAGTCTTTTATCCTTCACCCCCTTCCAACCCTTTCCCCATGAATCCCCAAAGTCCATTGTGTCATTCTTATGCCTTTGCATCCTCGTAGCTTAGCTCCCACCTAAGAGTGAGAACATACAATGTTTGGTTTTCCATTCCTGAGTTACCTCACTTAAAATAATAGTCTCCAATATTCTTTTCTTAAGACTATCAAGTGCAGTAGTGAGAAGAAGGGAAAAAGGAAAGAGTAGAACAAGGAGCTCAATCTGTAACTGACTGTGAACAATTGACTGAGATAATTCACTACCTTCAGACCAGCCCCAAACTTAATATTCTAACTGGAACCAATTCCCTACAACTTTCTGTATTTGCTGTTATCCTGGAATTTAATTTTTTATATTCCAGGATTTCTTCCACTAATTCTGAAGTTCAATTGTTCATTTATCTCAAATTTTATGTTGCTTTAGTAGAATGCATCTTAAAATAACTTCCCAAATTTCGAAGTCTTAGTTTTATTATCTTCTGCCATTTAGTATTGCTAATTTGAAGTCTAAACAGACTTTAAATAAAGTCATCCCTATATTTAGAAGACAGCTCATTTGTTTTTGTTTTCTGGAAGTTTTTGGATTTTCTCTTAATCCTTGAAGATCTGCAATGTCACCATTTCAGTGGATGGGGTGTATGTGGATGAGGAAGGGTGCAGGGTGGTGTCTATATGTGTAAGGTTTTTTTTTCCATGTTGTTTTTGAACATTGTTGTTACTACTTCGTTTTAGTTGTTCCTTTGCATTAGATTGACTCTTCTAAAAATCTGAAAATTTATCTTACATATACTTTCCTCTTCTAGCTTTATTTTCTCCTTCTAAAATTTTTACCAGCCTGATATTGGATACTCTATAACTGGTCTCCAGGTCGCTTACATTTTCTCATTTTCCATTTCTTTGTCTCATCAGTATGTTGGTAAATATTCTCAAATTGATCAATTTATCCTATGGATGACTAATAGATTTTTCAGCCCTCCTGCTGAATATGACTCTTCAGCAACTTCCATTTTAACTTTAGGAGCATTATCTTGTTATATGTATAGTATATATAATGAAAATATATAAATGCTCATATATATTTCTATTTTATACAATAAGATAAGCAGCAGCAAAGGCTGCTGTTTATATAATACACATATGTATGTATAGATTTGAGAAGATATTCCATCTATAGAACAAGAAAATGGCAGCCTTTTCTTGTTCTATAGATGCAATATCCTATCAAACCTTTCTTTCAGGAATAATTAACAATATTTAGAAGGTACAGTGCTGAATAGTGAGGAGTCCCTCCATCCTTGGTTGAAACATTCATCATGCATGTAAAGCAATAGCCAAGGAAGCAATAGCCAAGGAAGATGTCAAGCTGCCACCTATTATTTAAAAAGGTCTTAAAAAATGTTCCTACTCGGCCGGGCGCAGTGGCTCACGCCTGTACTCCCAGCACTTTGGGAGGCTGAGGGAGGAGGATCACGAGGTCAGGAGATCGAGACCATCCTGACTAACATGGTGAAACCCCTTCTCTACTAAAAATACAAAAAAAAAAAAAAATTAGCCTGGCGTGGTGGCGGGCGCCTGTAGTCCCAGCTACTCGGAAGGCTGAGGCAGGAGAATGGCGTGAACCCGGGAGGCGGAGCTTGCAGTGAGCTGAGATCAGGGCACTGCCCTCCAGCCTGGGCGACAGAACGAGACTCCGTCTCAAAAAACAAAACAAAACAACAACAACAAAAAAAATGCTCCTACTCAGGAAAGAGTTTAGAGATCAATTTAGAAGAATACCAAGGTCTGAAGGGTTTCACAAATTTCTTGACATCATCAATAAAAACTTCCTGGAAAAGCTGCAATCCAGGCCCATCTGATAATGAAAGGTATAGAGAACATAGCCTCGTTCAGAGAGCCAGCTATTTAGCTAGTCTGAATAACAAGTAATTTTGAGGCTTACAAACGATGAATTTTCTGCCCTAAATTAAAGTCAGTGTAGACCACGTTAGAGAGATTAAAAAGCAGAACGTGAGATATGATTTGGGACAGAGAAGAGCCACAGAATTGGGAAAAGGGAAACTCTCCCAGGTACTTCCCAGGCATCCTTTTGGATACCTTAAATATGTGCTGTGGGGCACTGGTTGCCTAATAAAGTAAATAACATCTATATGAAAACTCATTTCTGGGAAAGAGCCTGGAGGCAAATAACACATTCTCATCTCTAGCTCATTGCGTAGTAGGAAGAAGACACAAGAAGTGAAGGGAAATGCAATGACCAAAGTGCCAAGACTCATGCTGGAAATGCTGGAAACCTTCTAGGTGAAGACTAGATTGGAGAATCATGTTTGGACATGAACTGTGGTATTGGTTAATAGCCATTGGACCATAATATCCAACAATACAAGTAAATCAATAGCTTACTGAGATTGTTAAAAGAATTGTGTTACCAATGAAACCCCATATCTAAAATCAAGGGCCAATATTTGCTAAAATTTTAACAGATGTTCTGACCCAAGGGGAAATAAGCTGGACCACACTTATTTCAAAGAAGTTAATTGTTTTATAAATCACTTAACTGCACATAAATATTATAAATATCTGTAGATATCATTAGTCAATTATATACCAATTAGAAAAATAAATGCAAGTAAGAAATGGAAACAAGTTAGGAACATCTAGTCTAATTCTCATGTCTTACAAATGAAGATGCTAAGTCTCATTTGGTTATCTTCTTTGCCAAAGAACATACAGCTACTAAACAGTTGCATATTCAGCCCTCAAACTGTTTTCTCAATATCCAGTATAGTTTTAGACCATACTACTTCTAATAAATCCATAATTTATCCTCTTATTACCTATATGGCCTACCAATAGATATCATGAGAACTCACTATCACGAGAACAGCATGAGGGCAAATGCCCCCATGATTAAATTACCTCCAACTGAGTCCCTCCCGCAACATGTGGGGATTATGGGAACTACAATTCAAGGTAAGATCTGGGTGGGGACACAGAGCCAAAGCATATCATTCTACCTCTGGCCCCTCCCAAATCTCATGTCCTCACATTTTAAAACACAATCATGCCCTTTTAACAGTTCCCCAAAGTCCTAACTCATTCCAGCACTAACCCAAAAGTCCCAGTCCAAAGTCTCATCTGAGACAAGGCAAGTCCCTTCAACCTATGAGCCTGTAAAATCAAAAGCAAGTTAATTGCTTCCTAGATACATTGGAGGTACAAGCATTGGGTAAATACAGCCGTTCCAAATGGGAGAAATTAGCTAAAACAAAGGGGCTATAGGACCCATGCAAGTTTAAAATCCAGCGGGGCAGCCAAATCTTAAAGCTCTGAAATGATCTCCTTTGACTCCATGTCTCACATCCAGGGAATGCTGATGCAAAAGATGGGCTCCCACAGTCTTGTGCAGCTCTACCCCTGTGGCTTTGCAACCCACAGCCCCCCTTCTGGCTGCTTTTACAGGCTGGCAGTGAGTGTCTGCAGCTTTTCCAGGCGCATGGTGCAATCTCTCAGTGAATATACCATTCTGGGGTCTGGGGGATGGTGGCCCTCCTCTCACAGCTCCACTAGGCAGTGACCAAGTGGGTACTCTGTGTGGAGGTTCTGACCCCAGATTTCCCTTCTGCACTGCCTTAGCAGAGGTTCTTCATGAGAGCTCCACCCCTGCACCAAACTTCTGCCTGGACATACAGGTATAAAACCGGACGTCCTTTGAAATCTAGGCGGAGGTTCCCAAACCTCAGTTCTTGACTTCCATGCACCCACAGGCCCAATACCATGTTGAAGGCATCAAGGCTTGGGGCTTGAACCCACTGAAGCAATGCCCTGAGCTGTACATTGGCCCCTTTTGGCCACCACTGGGACACAGAGGACCAAGTCCCAAGACTACGCAAAGCATCAGTGCACTGAGCATGGCCCACGAAACTATTTTTACCTCTTATGCCCCCAGGCCTGTGATGGGAGGGGCTGCCATAGAAGTCTCTGATACGCCCTGGAGACATTTTCCCCCTTGTCCTGATGACTAACATTTGGCTCCTTGTTACTTATGCAAATTTCTGCAGCCAGCTTGACTTTCTCCTCAGAAAATGGGTTTTTCTTTCCTATTGCATTGTCAGGCTGCAAATTTTCCAAACTTTTTACTCTGCTTCCTCTTGAACGCTTTGCAGCTTAGAAATTGCTTCTGCCAGATATCCTAAATCATCTCTCTTGAGTTCAAATTTCCACAGATCTCTAGGGCAAGGGCAGCCTCTTTGCTAAAGCATAACAAGAGTCACCTTTACTCCAGTTTCCAACAAGTTCTTCATCTCCATCTGAGACCACCTCAGCCTGGACTTCATTGTCCATATCACTATCAGCATTTTAGTCAAAGCCATTCAACAAGTCTCTAAGAAGTTTCAAACTTTCCCACATCTTTCTGTCTTCTGAGCCCTCTAAGTCTCTAGGAATTTCCAAAATTTCCCACATTTTTCTTTCTTCTGCTGAGCCCTCCAAACTGTTCCAATCTCTGCCTGTTACCCAGTTCCAAAGCTGCTTCCACATTTTCAGGTATTTTTACAGTAGCACACCCCACCGCCCCCCCCCATCCCCCGTGGTACCAATTTACTCTATTAGTCTATTCTCACACTGCTAATAAAGCAATACCTGAGATTGGGTAATGTATAAAGGAAAGAGCTTTAATTGAGTCACAGTTCCATAGGACTGGGGAGGCCTCAGGAAACTTACAATCATGGCGAAGGCAAAGCAAATTCATCCTTCTTCACATGATGGCAGGAAGGAAAGCTGCTGAGCAAAAGGGGGGAAAGTCCCTTATAAAGCCACCAGATCTCATGAGAACTCACTCCCTATCACAAGATCAACATAAGGGTAATTGCCCCCCATGATTAAATTACCTCCCACTGGGTCCCTCCTACAACATGTGGGGATTATGGGAACTACAATTCAGGGTGAGATTTGGGTGCGAACACAGAGCCAAACCATAACAGGGCTAGTGCATTATTAGCATAGGAATTATTTTGTTAAAATACAGATTCTGATTCAGTAAGGCTGGAGAAGGACCTGAAAGTCTGCATTTTTATCTAGCACCTACTTGCTATTGATTGCTAGTTCCTGGATCACATATTAACTCCAAAGGCTATGGAGTATTCATTCTTCCTTATATCTAAACAGACACTTGCCAGGGACCATTAGAATGTCACTTCTAACTCTTGGCATTAAGGCAATATTTAATAAATTACAATGTCTAACAAATACTCCAGTAACCTTATATCAAAAAAGCAAAAACAAGATTTTAAATATTCATGGTTTTCATAATTTTGCATGAATATCAAAAACAATGTTTTATAAATTCCTTTGGGTTTTTTAATTTTTGTGGAAAAGACTATTTTTACTTAAAATGGGCATTTGTTATGTGAAAATATTTAGAATGCTTACCATGAAACTGTAGCTGATATATTCTTGTTCCTTTGCAGCAACTAGCAAATTGCCACAAATTATGTATGTAGAATAAATGAATTTTAGTGAATGCCTCACTGACTTCCCATGATTTCAGCTTCTTCATTGGGTAAAATCAAGACTATTAAACCTTGCCTACTACCGCCAGCAACATCTAGCATAATACAAAGAATGTAAATATGAAGGTCAGAAAACTCGTTTGGAGTTCTACCAAATAATCTTGGTGGAAAAGCACACTCTTCATAAATGACATAAGGAATACGTCAAAATATGTCAATATTTTTGTATAACTAAAAGTTATACCAATGCTTATTACTTGCTACCACTAATACTGCTCCCACTACTACCACTATTATTACTACCATTTTATAGAAAGTAAAGAACATTCATCATGTCTGGGCATTTACACTATTTAACACAGTTAGAATTATTGCAGAGCAAAGATATTTTCTTCAGTCAAGTTTGTATATTAGTTATACAATTGACAAGAAAACAGAATTCACCAAATAAAGTCCATCTCAATTTATATTTAAGCTATGATAGTAGAGATATAAATATTTAAAAATAGAATTTAAAGGATTAAAGTAATAACATGTTAACTAAAACTGATATTTTTATTACTCTTATGTAGGTTAGCAAGTCTTAACTTTTGAAAAGGAAAAATACAATTTGGTTTGCTTTTAAAGCATGCTGATGCAAGAAAGAGAAGCATGGATTATCCAGAATACTAAATGTCACAGAGAGCTAACTACAATTTATTTAAGCAACATTTACAAAATATTTTCAAATATAAGTCAACCTTATTATTTATATTGTAATATAGTTGTTGCTCTTCTCTAGAAAATGTGATTTTTCTGATTATGATTGTGTTATATACAATTTTTCTGAATTAATTACATAATAGTTAAGATTATTTAGAAGAATAATTTTAGAAAAAACTAGAGTAACATTTCTAAAATGATATGTTAATGATGTAACTCATATATACAAATTTTCATAAGTTTGTGTTTGTAATTCTAGATTTATTCCAAAAAGAAATTAAACAAACATGAGTTTGAAACCAAAATCTGCAGTTCTGTCAACCTCTTTAGATTCATTCCTTAGGCTGTCAATATTATTCAATTATCCATTAATAACTTGTTTCTTAAAATATTATATAATTACACTTAGGTTTATGTCACAAGATTTTCACATTCAAAAGAAAAAAAAAGCTTTGTTAAAGGTTGCTACGGGAAATAATTTATAAAGGCATAACTGGTAAACAGGCAGACATTACTTTTTCACAGACCAAATGTTGCAAGCCATCTTCTGAAATTGTTTGTTCCTGAATTTACCTTACTTCACTAACAAGAGCTGAATTATAGATATCAGCACTTGATGGGTGGCTTCTTACAGACATAGAAATCTTTCCATGTAAAAGCTGATGACAGAGCCTTGCACAGTTTGCAGTAATTGTGTTAAGGAAATGATTGCTTTTCTTTTTATGTTTTTAAAGCATTTATCACTAGATAAAATTATAAATTTTTAGAACTTATTTAAAACTGTCTATTTCTCCCAAATACCATATCTCTTTTGAGTTGCCCTCAGACACCTTCATAAAGAATAAAATATTGTTTGTACAACGTCACATTATACCGGACCTTGAAACTAGCTTCCTTCTACAGCAGATCTTAACTCAAGCTCATCGATAACAGGCAAAAAGGTAACTAGAGTTGTTTCTATAGAATGTATCACATGAATACATAGGCCAACTAATGCTATGCCAATTTAACATGAGAAAAATATTTTTTCAAAGCACAACTCTTCTACAAAGATTATGAGTTCAATTAGCAGACAGATGTTTATTCAACTAAGCATGAAGATTATTTTATAGGAAAAATTAGGCCTGGAACTGAGTTTAGAAGTAGGGACAAGTAAGAGTTGAGATTCCCTGAATATCAGATGAGAAATAATTTAAAGGAAGAGTTGGGCAAGTATATCCGAGTTGAAATACGGAGAGAAGAACCATCAAGATGGTGACAGGAGCCAGGTTTGTGTAGCCTAATTTTTAAATATCTCCTATAATAAGTAGACAAAAGGGTTTTAGAGATTTCTAGTATGTGATTTTTAAGTTTGCTCATTTTTTTCTGGAAACATTGTATGCAATCCCTTTTCCTGGGATTACTTCACCAAGATGCTGGTCAGGTTAAAACTCACTTGAAATATCACAGTAGGAAATTAATTGTGATGCTACTCTTCTACATTCTGGAAGAACAAAATCCACCTTCTATCTAAACTGCCACCTTTTTTAAATCGGCACTTGAAACATCATTTTCTTTGGAGGAGAGGAAACAACGAGTGCAAGGTAAGAGTGGGGACTGAAGGATCAGACTCGTGTTCTGCTCCCTAGGCATGGAAACTTGATCAGGTTTTCTTCACATATTAGTGCCTCAAATTCCTCATCTATGAAATGGGCTTTTTCCATGCTACAAGGACCTGTTCTGCTTCTGGAGTCCCTTTCATCTACTCCTCTCTCCCAGACATAGCTCCCTGATCTGTCCCATAGCTTCCAAAGTCTGTGCATTGAGACAGAGGAGACTTCTAACTCCTTGTAATCTTGACACTTCCTTCATCACAACTTCTAAAAGACTAGAAAAACAGAAGGGAGAAAAAAAAAGTGTACCCAGCAGTCTCCTTTTCTTCTGCTCCTTAATATAGACGATCAATTTCTCTATTCTATCTGTACAAACATCAATTATGTTTTTATGCTTATATTTCCTGTGAATATTACATTATCTGCTACATAGGGACAATGAATTTAAAAAATGATAAATGAAGATGTTCATCAATCTATCACAAATTTACCAACAGTTCTCTTAGGATTGCTCAACTGATGTCAGAAGAATAGAAATCTGGACATAACATCTAAGAAAACCTCAAACACTGTGACACGGTAAGTTGAGCACCTCTCAAGTATTCCACGCTGGACAACATCACAGATTCTCACCAGGCTTCTTCAAGGATCAGGAGGATGACAATTTAAATAGGTTACCTCAAAAGTTATGTTGTCTTCTTCAAAATTCATTTTTTCAGAAAGCAACAATCTCAATTACAAAAAAACTAAATATACTAAAACTGTACACAGTAATGTGAAATCACATTTCTGTTTTTAGAGAAAACAACTGAGAAAATAAGATTAAAAGATGAAGACATAATAAGAAAAAAGTAAATATTTTTAAAGGGAGTAGGATTCATTCTATAAAAAGGAAACGAGGAGGTAAAACAGAGAACCTCTGCTCACTAGGGCTTCTAGTAATTTACTCAAACTCTTTGTGTTTCTATTAGGAGAATGAAAAGAAACCTATTTATTTGAGAAATTTTCAAATTGACAATGAAACTATACCATCAGAAAGGCTTTTAAAAGCTTAGTTACATGTGCCTCCTCTTATTCAATGTCATTTTTGTAGTAAACTATATTAAGACCCTACAATAGAAAGCTGAGATATAACTCATAATTGTTTTGGACCACAAGTGTTAGACTTGAGATTATTACTCAAATTCTAAAATTTTTCTGTGGGTGGTATCTTAAAGCTCAAAGAGCAAATCACTTTTTAAATGTCTGAATATATCTAACAAATACTACTGAGTATTCACTATGTACCAGGCCCTGTGATAGGCACCAGATAATAAGCAGTAAGTCACACAGATGGTATCCCCTCTATCCTCATGAAGTTTGCTGTTTAAACTCATCAAACAGTTCTAATATTTAAACCCAAATCAAATATATTACATTTCCATCCTAGAAGTTAAGGAATAGATGGGAATTTAAATGCATTATTTTATTATTTGTTTTATAATTTACTTACAAATGGATACACATCATTACAAAGTTACTTACAAAAAAAAGTCTAATAAAAGTTTTTTGCCAATGTTTTCATTTTAAAAGGAACATAGATCAGAATGAGACAGAGAGATCCACAGAAACACATGGACTCTCAGATGTAGCAAAAGATGGACAATATTTTGCTAATTTGACAAGTTAAATAGCACATAGATTCATAGTGTAGCTGTGTTATTAAATTTATATTCAAAATGCTGTGGAAATAATATGAATATTTATTCCAAAAGCGTGTAGACCCTTTGAAGAAAATTGTTTCTAGAATAGTTTCTGGTAAAAGTCATCCTTATGGATAAGCTTACAACACTGCTAAGAGCAAATCCAGATGGCTTTTGGGAGCTGTGCTGTGTTGGTGGAGTTGTTTCTTGATAAAAGGAGGGAAATGCTGTCCTTATGTAAAATAAAAATAATTTTAAAATACTACAAGGCCAGGCACGGTGGCTCATGCCTGTAATCCCAGCATTTTGAGAGGCCGAGGTGGGTGGATCATCTGAGGTTAGGAGTTCGAGACCAGACTGGCCAACATAGTAAAACCCCATCTCCACTAAAAAATACAAAAAGTTAGCCAGGCGTGGTGGCATGCACCTGTAATAACAACTACTTGAGGCTGAGGTAGGAGAATTGCTTGAACCCGGAAGGTGGAGGTTGCAGTGAGCTGAGACCGTGCCACTGCCCTCTAGCCTGGGCAACAGAGTGAGACTCCATCTCAAATAAATAAATTACTATAAATATAAAAGAAAATCATACAAACTAATAGGGAACCTTAATTGTAGCAAGATAATGGTTGCTGCATATGGGAGGCAGTGCTGCCTTGTGGAGTTATGGGGGAACTAGACGGCCTTAGTAGAGAGGTCTCCTATATACATACGTATCTTCAATATATGAAGAAGCCAAGACATGGACATAATAAATAATAATCATAAATCATAAAAGTGCCTTCTCTCAATGATTATCAATATAAGTTATAGAGAAATAAAGTTTGGAAGGGTTTTTTAAAGAATGTTATGCAAACCTGGTGGATCTAATGCTAAAAAAGAAGGTGAAAACAAGAAGCTAAGACATCTCTCTTCGGAGACGGGAGGAGGAAGAAAGGACATGATAATGAGAAAGGTTCTAAATATATCCTGCATGAATTCCCCCTGCATATATTCTCTGTAAATGTATCTCTTAGTGTTTAAAGTTGGAAATTTAAATAATAATTTTATTAAATATTTCAATCTATATCTCAGACTGTTATAGTTTCCCCAACTCCCATTACATGAGTTAGATCCTATGTAAATGAACCCAATATCATTTCTGATTGGACCAAACCAGCATGATTCATCGGCCTCTACATAGTCATATTGCATTCTTCTTAATCCTTTTTTCCTAGCTGTCGTATACTTATATGTCATAAACCAAATAACATACATTCCCAAAGACATAACCCTTAGTCTGAGCCCTGAATATAATTTGAATGTTGATTGAACTTGCTTTTCCAGAATTTACATTTTACTCACCTTCTAAATTATCTTGTCTTCCTCATGAATGAATCTACTGCCGATTAAACATTTTTATGTTGTAGAATCATATAAATGTTAATCTTAATTTATTTTATAATAAACAAAAATATAGCTTATTATACATATTATAATCAGAAAACACATAAGATTTTATAAATCTCATTTAAAAAGTCTTTCTCAAGAGATCCCCCATGCTTTAACTTTTGTGCAAAGATGGGATATTAATCTCATTTCACATGACAACAAAGTACTAACATAGGGAAGACAGATTTGCCATTCAGTCTTACTGGCAAGTACTAGCCAGATGCAAGATAAATGGGTATAGTATTAAGCTAACCATTTAGTAGCCAACAATAATATTTTTCTTGGAACTGACAGAGCACCACAACTAGTTAGAAACAGTGAGACATACCTCTATGATAGTTCCTAATTCAAGTGCTAAGCCTGCCAAGTATAAGATTTACATTTATGCTGTTCTAGAGTAGACCAGCTATTCCGATCCTTAGCTACACACTGGAATCACCTGGAGAGATATTGAAAAATACCAATATCCAAGCCCTATCTCAGACCAATAAAATCATAATTTCTCTGGTAGGGGCCTGGGCATTATCATTTTGTTGCAATATCTTCCCAGGTGATTCTATGTGGTGGGAATAGGAGTGTGAATGTATTGGTTTTTTTCCTCTTTGCTGATTCTTCGTAACTCCCTTAGAGCCTTCTGGATCTAAGAATATCCTTCTCTAAAGGAAATATCAAACAAGACTTTCAAAGGACTGGCTTGACACTTAAAGCAAACGGTTTTTTATAATGTTTGTTTTATAATTAGGATTTATAAATTTATAATTGGGATTCTCTTTGTCATTAAATCTTCGTATTCAAGAGAACAAATTTCAAAGCAGAAAGTGACAATAATAATGAACCAAATGCCTAATCTCAAATAACATTACTCTTAAAATTTTACTTCCTTTTCTCAAAGAACTTGAAACAGAACTACCAGTCAACCCAGCAATCCCATTACTGAGTATATATCCAAAGAAATATAAACCATTCTGCCGTAAAGAAACATGCACGTGTATGTTCATCACAGCATGATTCACAATAGCAAAGACATGGAATTAACCTAGATGCCCATCAATGGTGAACTGGATAAAGAAAATATGGTACAAATATACCATGGAATACTACACATCCATAAAAAATAATGAAATCATGTCCTTTGCAGCAGCATGAATGGAGCTGGAGGCCATACTCCTGAGTAAATTAATGCAGGAACAGAAAATCAAATATTGCATGTTCTCATAAGTGGGAGCTAAACATTGAGTACACATGGACACAAAAAAGGGAATAAAGGTGCCCTTTTGGCACCAGGGACAAGTTTTGTAGAAGACAATTTTTCCACAGACCAGGGGGTGGGAGAATAGTTTCAGGATGATTCAAGCACATTACATTTATTGTGCACTTTATGTCTATTATTATTACATTGTAATATATAATGAAATAATTATACAACTCACCTTATTGTAGACTCATGGGAGCCCTGAGCTTGTTTTCCTGAAACTAGACAGTCCCATCTGGGGGTGATGGGAGACAGTGACAGATCATCAGGTATTAGATTCTCATAAAGAACCACACAACCTAGATCCCCTACATGCACAGTTCACAATAGGGCACTGCTAGTAGAATCTAAAGCCACTGCTGATCTGACGGCAGGCAGAGCTCAGGTGGTAACGTGAGCCATGATGTGAAAAACTGTAAATACAGATGGCTCTCTTGCCTGTGGCTCACCTCCTGCTGTGTGGCCCAGCTCCTAACAGGCCACAGACCAGTACCAGACAGTGGCCTAGGTGTTGGGGACCCTTGACCTATCAGGTAAATATGTTCATTAACTGGATGATGAAATAATCTATACACCAAAACCCACAACATGCAATTTATCTATATGACAAACCTGCACATGTACCCTCTCAACCAAATATAAAAGTTGGAAAGAAAAAACTAAATGTATAAATAAAAATAAATTTTTTTTAATGAAAGGGTTTTACTTTTCTTTCCCCTTACCTCCTGTCAATGGCTAAGGCTAATTGTAAGTAGTAAAATATGATTTTATGCCAGGCTAAATGCTGCTGAAGAATAGAGGAGAAAGTCACACCCACAAGAGAGAACACACGCCCGCGCGCACACACACACACACACACACACACACTGACATTCAGTTCCCTGTAGACATTTGGAAGTTGTCAGCAGTAGCATAAAGACAGTCCTAATTATTAAAATTACTCTTGTGTGGAGAGTGCTTTAGAATAAGATGCCGACAGGCATGCAATATGTTCACTGCACCACGATCTTTTTCTTTTTTTAAAAAAAGAAAACTTTTATGAGTATTCCACTGGCTTTCATCAAAATACCTCTCCCCACCTCAGTGACATATACCCTCTCAAACATTCCAATGAAATTACCAATAAATTCTGATTCCATAAGGAATCTAATACCCTAAAGATACCTTTTATTATTGAGTTTGTTCGATGGATTTTCTTATACGTACAACTATAAAATTTACTACAGTCCCAATTCCTCATAATGTTCAGACATAATCACATTTTTACCATTACTCAAATCATATACAGTATCATAAAGATGCTGTGATTAATATACATTTTAAAATATTTTTCAAAGCAGATTTCTTTTAGGTCCCAAGTACAGTTAACTAGCTAGATCTTGCTCTACCAGAAATGATTTTATGGTTTATATTCTAATACACATATGTACATACAGAATTGTCACAGGCAATTCAAGTCAAAATATCACATAGTCTAACATTAACCTCTATGGATCATAGAAAATATCAAATAGGCAGGAGAGCTACAGTGTAGAAAAAAGAAAGAGCTGATTTATGTTGCTTCAGGAAGAAGAACCAGGACCTACAGTTGACAGTAAATAGAAGCAAATTTGCAATCAATATAAAACAAAATGAGCAATCAGGTCTTACTAAAAAATGTGGGCCACCTTGTTTAGATTGCCTGTCATACTCATAGTTGGTTCTTAGTGGGTCCAACCTGGGAACTCACCATCTTTGAAAATAATAAAGCTACAAAACAGTAGGTTACAGAAAACTGATTAGTTCTCAGCCTGCTTCACAATCCATGAAGGGAGTGTCAAACATTCATTCTCCAGACACACTGAACCACTAGCCCAAACACAAGCACCCTTGCCCCTGTAAACTACGGGATGCCTCCTCAACCAGGCCAGGAGAGGTAATTAAATATTTGGGTTTTAAAATGCCTGCCCTTCCAGCTCCCAGGCGACCTTCTGTTGGATCCAGATAAACATGAGGAAAGCACATGCTCAAATCTTTATCTCAAGGCACAGAGGCAGTAAAAAAAAGGATGAATAAATAATAAACATTAAATACTAACAAATGTGGATATTGTGTAAATAAACTAAATTGCCTTCCCATTTTTCTCTCATCACATTTTCCCCTGTGTGTCTATCAACGCAGTATATAAACTAAAAGCAGGACATTTTAGTAAAAAAAAAAAATTCATGTTATCTCATCAGTGTCTAGTAATCTTATATAATGCTAAGTAGTTTTGATCTCATTTGCAAGAAAAATATTTATTTGATAAAAATATATTGAATAATATATATAATATTTAATAATGCAGTGAATTGGGGATAATTCAGAGAGACACTCATAGTGCTGTAAATTATTTTCATGCCATAATATTGCATATGAGCTTATCCACTAAAAATTGTTAGCACGTGCAATTAAAAGAAAAAGAAATACTATCTAATTTGAAAACTAAACAAATAGACATAAAGGTGCTTTTATTTCAAATGATAAAATCTCAGCTCTTTGGTCAAGCAGCTTGAATTTCAGGAATATTTCTTGAAAAGAAAGTAAATTAATGG
The DNA here is from genome assembly GCF_000001405.40 of Homo sapiens. Lineage (NCBI taxonomy): Eukaryota > Metazoa > Chordata > Mammalia > Primates > Hominidae > Homo > Homo sapiens. The sequence goes on along the minus strand of NC_000003.12, from coordinate 88,416,731 downwards.
GGTAGGATTTATAGATATGTTGTCTTGAACTGAGCATCATTCCATCTATGCTCAGAAGCTTCTGACAATGAGTGGATGTATTAAGGGTGATAAATGTCTATGATTCCGTGGTATGGTATAGCAAGTGTTTCAGGAGCGAAGACTTTGTAGAAGTAGAATAATTTCCATTCAGCCTCAAAGCTATAACAATGCATTACTGATCTCTCACTGCCTCTTAATTTTAATGTCATCTGATCTGTTTATCTGAAGGTTCAAAATGCTGTTGGGTCTCCTTATCTCAGCTATGTGCTAAACTCAGGCCTATGAATCTGTAGGGAACATCTTGACTCTGTAAAAAGATGCAAAATCTATAAACAAAAAGCAAAGGCAAGTGGCATTTTTGTGAATCCCCTTGATTTCTATTCCTCTGGCTGACTGAAACTTCTATCACCCTTTTCCTTTTCTTTTTTTTTTTTTTTTTAATAGGGAGTCTCACTCTGTCACCCAGGCTGGAGTGCAGTGGCCGATCTCGGCTCACTGCAACCTCTCCATCTCCCAGGTTCAAGCTTTTCTCCTGCCTCAGCCTCCTGAGTAGCTAGGACTACAGGCGCGTGCCACCACACCAGGCTAATTTTTCTATTTTTAGTAGAGACGGGATTTCACCATGTTGGCCAGGATGGTCTCCATCTCCTGACCTCAAGTCATCCTCCTGCCTCGGCCTCCCAAAGTGCTGGGATTACAGGTGTGAGCCACTGCACCTGGCCCACCCTTTTTCATTTAAGCCTTCTAGAGAACAAAGAGGCTAACTTTGGCTTCTTTGTTTCTGAATTTTGACAAAGATTCACTTTAGGACATCTCAATAGAACTTAAGGTCTAATGGAGAAATGTTATACTCTCAGAGGTCACACTGCCAAAATGATTCTCTTCAGGTTGCAGGGACAAAGAAAACATTACACCTCCAGAATCTGGCTTTAGGGCTTGTAAAGGAGGCTCTGTGCACCACTGTGGTTCTTGAAGTTAGATGGACTTTGCAAGGAATTATACCCAGAACACCTCATTGGTATGTGAGGATTAAATGAGATCATGTATGTAAACTGAATAATTTAAAGTTTGGCACAGCAGATAGGGGCTTCTCTCTCTTTCCCGCCCCCTCCCCACTCTTATAGTTTCATTTAACAATCATAGTACCCTTATTTAGGTGTTATTATTCTCAGTACAAAAATGGGTGGGAAAATGGAAATTTCAAAAGATTAAAAACTTAAATCATACCATGAAGAACGTCAAAATCAGTTTCTACCTAAGCCTATCTGATTCCGCTACACCAGTCTATTTCTATAATGTGATACCATCCTCATTGTTTTAACCCTGCAGATTGCTTCTTCTGAATAGGAAGACACCCTCAAATAATTCTAAAGTCCTGCTATATCAGTGCCTTGAATTTATCTTCATTATAAATTTTCCCTTAATACTCTGCATTGGGAAATAAAAATCATATTCTATTTTCAGAGAATAATGTTACTTGCAAAATTTTGGTTATTTTTGATTTGAGTTTGGGGGTTTTAAGTCAATAAATGAAATACTCGTGAGGAATTTAGGGAGAAAAAGAAAAAAGAACATTAACATTGTTTATGATTCCACCCTCTGAAGAACTGCTATTACTGTTTTGCTATGTGGCTTTTTATGCTCTTACATGAATGTAAATTTAAATATTTGTGTGTGTGTGTGTGTGTGGGTTTTTTTTACATTACTGTCATACTAAAGTTTTTGGTAACCTGACATTTTATTTTAAAATACCAGTTAGAAATCTTTGAGCACATGGCTTTTAATAAATTCATAGTTTTCTGTTGAATAGCATATAATTTATTTACCTAATCCACATTAGACTCTATGCTCGTCTTTCCTATTTAACTAACATACTGTACAGTCCTAATCCCCACTGGAGTCTATGTTAGTCATTTCGATTTGATTAATATACTGTACTGTCTACTATGCATTCATCATCTCATTTAATCCTATTAATTTTGCAGTCATTCTGTCATTATTTAGTACTTGCAACACCACCCCACCAAGATGTAAACATTTTAAAAATTGTATACTCTAAATATGAGGAAACATATCCTGGAATCTATAATGTTCTGCCTTTTTAAAAATCCTGTTAAAAAATCTTTGTTGGCCTAGGTGCTGTGGCTCATGCCTGTAACCCTAGCACTTTGGGAGGCAAAGGCAGGTGGATCATGAGGTCAGGAGATCGAGAGCAGCCTGGCCAACATGGTGAAACCCTGTCTCTACTAAAATTACTAAAATTAGCTGGGCGTGTTGGGGCACGCCTGTAGTCCCAGCTACTCAGGAGGCTGAGGCAGGAGTATCGCTTGAACCCAGGAGGCGGAGGTTACAGTGAGCAGAGGTCAAGGCTTTTCACTCCAGCCTGGCAACAGAGTGAGACTCCATCTCAAAAAAAAAAAAAAAAAAAAAAAAAAAAAAACTTTGTTGGTACAATTTTGCTGATATTTTAGGTTTCCTTAGGATATGTTAATACAAATTTATATATATATATATACATATATATGTTACTTGTTACAAATTTACAAATAACGTTTGTAAAGTATTGTACTTTTATCAGCAGTTTAAGAGATAGTCTGTTTCCCTAGACTGTAATATTATTTATAATTGTAAAATATTGTACTAAAGAAAATGCAAATTTCTACCTTGGCATTGTATATAAGTTCCTGCCTGTGATTATCAGTGTTAAATATTTTAATATCTTTATTTACTTAATTTGTCTTTATTCTTTCTTGATAACCTACTCATGTTATTTGGCTATTCTTCTATTAAGGAAATTATCTTTTTCTTATTGCTCTTAAGATTTTCTAACAAACTGGTTTGATTAACCATTTTTCATGTAGGTTGCAAGTATTTGTCACTTATATGTTGGGGTTTTGCATTATTAATTAATCACACTTCTCATCCCCATGCCACATATACATAAAAATACCTATGCATGTTTTTTTATTTTGAAAAATATTAAAAACACTGAAAGTCTGAAAGGGCAGTACAGAAAAACCTATATGATTTGTTAACAGCTCTGCAATACCTATTGCCTATCTACATATGTAAGCATGCACACACACACATACACACACACATACTCAACTTTTGTCAAACCTTCCAAAAGTAGGCGTGAATGTACTTCTAAAAGTATATGTCACTCCTAAATACTTCAGCATGCATCTCCCAAGAAGGAAAATATTATTTCCAATGAAACCACATCATTACCACACCCAAGAATATTAACAATCATAGTATTATTTAATACACAGTTCATATACAAATTCTCCCAATCATCCTCAAAATGTTTTTTCAAGATTCAAGATTCAATTATGTATAGCATTTGAATCTTTAGTTCTCTTAGTGTATAAGAGTTACACCTTCTCCTAGGTCTTTCTTGATACTGACTCCTCTAAGGGTCCAGGTTAATCAGCCTATACACCATCCTGCTTTCCAGATATATCTGATGTTTTTTCAACATTAGATTCAGGTCAAACATACCTGACAAGAACACAACATAGGTGAGTAGGCATATTTCCCAATGCATTATATCATGAGTTTATGCCTACTGAATTAAAAATTAAATCAAAGTCACAGGAGGCAGATGGCATTAATATACTAATTCAACTTTCACTGGAAAAAATAAAAAACTTAGCAATAAAAAATTTAGCTTCTGAAAGCCAAAATAGGGATACCTACTTCTATCCATTAAAACTTACCATTAACCCTTGCACCATATCATGTGTGTGGCTGAAAAATGACAATTCATATATAGCCACGTGCTGCATAACATTTTAGGCAACAATGGACTGCATATATAACTGTGGTTCCAAAAAATTATAATTCTGTATTTTTACTGTATCTTTTCTATATTTAGATACAGAAATACCGGTGTGGTACTATCTCCTTACACTATTAAAAACAGTAACATGCTGTACAGATTTGTAGCCTAGGAGTAATAGGCTACACCTTATGCTCTAGGTATGTAATGTGCTCTGCCATCTAGGTGTGTGTTAGTACACTCAACGAAGTGCTCCTGACAATGAAAGCTCCTAACTACACATTTCTCAAAATGTATCTCTATCACATTTTGTCTAGTGGCACAAGACTGTGCTCCTATTCCCACTAACCACAAAAATTTCACAAATGTGTAGTTTAAAAAGTACATGTGAGTACCCAAGCATACTTAAATCACTCCCAATAACTGAAACTTATTACAAAACAGGAATGAAGAAAAGCAATGTACTCTGCCAAGGAGAGAGAGATCAGGTTTGATACAGTCACAAGAATGGGATGAGCCTCTCCTTGTCCAGGGAAGAAATAAAGGTCCAGAAGAATGATCCCAATGCTATCCACTGCAGAGAATTTAGTAGAAGGCCTTTCCCCTCCATGGAAGGCAAGAGGAGCTGCTGTGGAAACATTGTGAACTGCTGCTTTTTAATTTTACTCATGATGGATTCTTAAAATATACACATAGAAACCCACAAAGTCAGTAATTTTATATAGTCAAAGCTATAAATATATTATATTTATTCCTTTTCCCTAGTACTGATAAAACTATTACCCCTTCAAAAATAAAGTGAGTACCTATCATAGTTGTTTATGACTTATTTTTCACACCAAACTCTCCTAATTCATTTCAAATTTATTTTTATATGTAGGGCATATTATATTACCCTTTCTCTTGGGGTATTCTTCTAACAGTGTTGTCAAATAGAAATACAATGCAAGCCACATAAGTAAGTTCAAACTTTCTAGTCAGCACATTTTAAAAAGTAAAGAGAAACAGGTGAAATTGATTTTAATGACATTTTTATTCAAGCTGACCTTTCTAAAATATTTTCTTATTATATGTTGAAATATATTTAATAATATAAAATAAAATATTAATTAGATATTTCACATGTTTATAATATTTGAAATCTGTAATGTATTTCTCACAAAACATCTCAATTCAGACACTAAATTTTCATCAGCAGTATTTAGCATATATTTAGATTTAATAAATGTACCACTGAAAAAGTAGATACCCATATCTAAGTTGTTTCAAACAAACTTAAAAATTTTTCACAAACTGAATTATCAGCTTTAAAATTAAACTTAAATGAATTAAATAACTTTTTTCTACAAAATCCGTATCTGTTTAGTTGCTGATTTAGTGGCTGAGCAGAGATTCAATTAGGTGAGAATCTTTAAAATACTACCATATATTTAATGCAATAAACTTATAATCCAAGCTTATAAGATCTTATTCATTATGTAGGTAGATGAGGCAGAGACAGGTCAGTTAGATGGATGGATGGATAGATAGATAGATAGATAGATAGACAGATAGATAGATAGATAGATAGATAGATGATAGATAGAGTGAGTGAGCTAAATTTATGGTAAATTTTATGTCACTTGTAGACACTGTAGAATGTCTCAATTAGGAAGAAACAAGATGGCCTCCATTGCTTCAAAATTAGAAGAAAACAGATTTGTTCTATGCCCACAAACAACTATACCTTGAAAATGCATTTTAATTTAATCACATTCTTTGATGTTCTCATTAGTGTTAATAAAGAAGAAAATGTTATTCTAATCAAGATAAAGTTATTTTCATATTCACTTTACAATGACTAATATAAAATTCAACTGTATTTATAAGGAAATTTACAGTGCATACTTAATTTAAAGGTAAAAAGCTAATTATCCCACACTACAACACAAACATTTGTAATTTTAAATACCAAATATTTCTTACTCAATCAGCAGTTAAAATGAGAAATCACTTTATATTTTGGTGACAACATTAACATTGTATTCAATTGGTGTTTGTTTTGCTTCCGCTCTCTATATATATAACAAAAGTCTTTACTTTAAAGAGTAATTTTGGATACCCAACATCAAGTTTTTATCATCAGAATTCATACAATAAACCACCACTGTGATAAGAACTCACTGTGAAGTTGATTTCTTGTCATTAGAGCAAGGAAGTAATCAAATGGCACCATTTAACAATCGTTAAATTCATATTGGATTTCATGTTACAATAATGAGAATAGAAACTAGAATAAGAAAAAGATGACTAAACTTTAGGAGATTATTTATATTTAACCTGAAAAGACAAGTTTTAAAGATAATAACCAAAGTCTATAATCTTATAAACAATCATTTTGAAGATTTGTTGAACCATTGTCAATCAGATGACCACAAAAGATAAGCTGCTTTAAAAGACTTCCGTGGCAGGAGAGCTTCCGGAGTGGATGAGTGGTTCACACGGCAACAAATGAGAAAAAGAAGCCAGAAGTTTCAGAGATCTTTATAAACATATGAGTCCCAGTGATCTCAAGCATGAATGCAGGTTGTCACATACCTTAAGGAACAGACTCTTTCTATGAATAGCTATAGAAATAAATCACTCTATAAAAAAAGCTCTCCCAATTTTGGAAATATGTGGAGGTGGGTCATCTTCAGGATATTCTAAGCTTTGGGATTTGATTAAAGTTATCGCCCCATGTAGTTTTCATGATTTCATGCACAGAGCCTTCTTTTTGAGCTCAGTGAGCCACATTTTCCTGTAAAATAAAATGAAACCCCCATATGTTTTTAGTCATTTTGTAACAAAATTTGGAATCTTTCTATTGAAGACTTCAGAGTTTTCTGATGTATTGATTTAGTCCAGCTAGGATTTCTCAGCTACTGTTGGGTGAAAGGTCTCTTGTAACACACAATGATCCTAATTCAGGCACAGACAATGGCCTTAGAGTAGTTAAAAATATGTCACCCTGATGCATTTGTTACGGAAGTTAAATACTATCATTGCTTTCATAACTGTTCCTGTAGTAAAGCATAATTTGAGTTTTTATTGTTTCATTTTACAAGTCACCAATAAAATAAATCATATATATCCTGATAGAAAATTAAAGACAATATCACTGACTTTACTAGGAGACGGAGCAAAAATAGAAATAGAAAAGAATCTGAAGAAAACAAAATAAACAAAATGATCTTGTGACTAAATAACTTGCTTCTTAAATCATATCCAACTCACAAATAGTACTGTGCATGTGTGCTATAATTTGTCCTAAGAATATTTTTTGTCCCTATACATTCTGTTAAATAAACTATTTTTTTCTATTTGCCTCACTCTCTATAATTTGATTCTCAGAGAATTAAGAAAAAATATTCTATTTACAGCAAAATTTTCTTCTGTACCTGATCACCTAGACATTTTCCCCCCAAACTTTGAAGAAAGAAATCATTTTCGCATGTAACAGAGGCAGCTGGTTTAACAGGGAATGCTATCATGGCTTAGCCCATCCTGATTCTGGGCAGCTAATTTGAATAGCTAGGTAAATTCTGCAAGCAGCCTCTTCCATTTTCTCAGAAAATGTGAGGAAGCTTGGAATAGGACAGAAGACAGAACAGAGGACAGAACAGAAGTAGGGAAAGAGAAGCAAAAACGGAAATAGAAAGTAACTGCTGAGGCATGGCTAATCAGAAAGGACACTTCATGCATATTATAGACCCATTGTGATAATAAAATTGGAATCAAATTGCCTACACAAACCACTTGAGACACTCTGCATCTTTAATTTTTAAAATTATGAAGACACTTGACACCGAAGGGGATCAATTATCACTAGTTTTCGTGCAAATACTTACTTAAGCAATGCTGTGGGTCAGAGTCAGTAGGAAAATTGCAGGCTTGCAGCCACGTAATAGCAACTAATTACACTATTCCTGGGCCCCTTTTCAATGGTCTCAGTTGGCAATAGTGGTCGTGGCTGACTTATTTTGATTAAATTTCAAGGAGTCTAAAGTTATGATAAATGTGTGTATTTGTTAAAACTGGTTTGGATCATGAAATCACCAAAAAAAAAACATTAAAACAAAAGGGAATCCCCCAGTTAACTTGTTAGGTACTCAAATCCTTGAGATGCACAGTGTGGTGCCATTTAATAATGGAATAGAGGTTTTCAGTATGGCATAGAAGCAGCTCCCAGATCACAGTGGCCCCCCTTTCAATGGGCAATCTTGAACATATACATTTAGAAAGATGGGAATTTATACTGCTCCACGCTATATGGGACAGTTAATAGAGTACTTTATGTTAATAAAGTAAATGGAATGCTTTACTTTCTGTTAGTAACAGTTTTGAGAGCCTGGTCAGGCACTGGCTTTATTCTGAATTGTCAAGCCTACTTCAAGTTTTCTTTTTTATTATACTAAGGTTAATCAGCTACTTTAATAGAAACATCTCTACTCTCCTTTTTGGTTCCACCCCACAAAGTATTGAGAGATAAATATTATCTCCATAACAAAAAGTCTATCAACAAAACAGCTAGTCTAATAGACAAGGAGACTGAACTTCATTTTTGAGTTCAGGAAAACAAACCATTAGAAACTAAATGAGGGTTGTCAGACTTGCGGTAACAATAAAAATAAACAAACCTCATTTATTGCCTCTATTGCCTTCATCTCCTTTACTCTGTCACCTTTATGAAAACTGCCTAAGTAGACATGACATTGAACACTGAGCATTTCTTCCTGTCTTACTTCTATTTCTTTTCTCTGGGCAATTTGCCCTTAATAAGTGAATTAAGTACTGGTGAATTAATTTATTTCTGTTCAACTGAATATACTGCTTTATTGTATATTTTAAAATTAATTTATTACATATAAAAATAAATTGATTGCAGCCAGGCACAGTGGCTTATGCCTGTAATCCTAGCACTTTGGGAGGTCAAGGTGGGTGGATCACCTGAGCTAAGGAGTTCAAGACCAGCCTGGCCAACATGGTGAAACCCGTCTCTATTAAAAATACAAAAATTAGCCAGACATCATGGCAGGTGTCTGTAATCCCAGCTACTCGGGAGGCTGAGATGGGAGAATTACTTGAACCTGGGAGGCGGAGGTTGCAGTGAGCCGAGATCGCGCCACTGCACTCCACCCTGGGTGGCTGAGCAAGACTCCATTTCAAATAAATAAATAAATAAATAAATAAATAGATTGCACACTATTTTCTTCAATCTCTTCCAAAGAATGTCACCTTTACAGTAAATAAAGCTTTGCTTGTGAAAGAAGCTCTAAGCCATTTAAAAAAGTAAAATGTGTGTTCTCAGCCTATATGGCCACCTGTCACCACTTGCCTGGAGGGTAGGCATGACACACTGACCTCCATTAGATGCAGTGACTATGATTCCAAAAGTGAAAAGAGGTTATTTTCAGCGCTACATATGCCGCCAAGAAGCTGACATTTTGATGTCCACTCCTCATTTTGCTAGCTTGAATCTACTAGCATAATATTGTTTTGTATCAATCCATAAAAACATAAAAACATATTCACACATTTAACATACTAAATGTTACAAGATATGCATGAATATGCATTCAGACCCTCCCTCTCCTTTTTTTTTTTTTTTTTTTTGGACTTTTCTGAAGATTTTATTTCTTTCTAAAACATATATTAGGAAAAGAATATTTGCACAATGCCAGGTAATACCTGGTACATGATAGAGTAAGTAATTCCACTCTGGCGCCCCCAAATCCGCAAAGAGTCTGAGGAGGTAGGATTGAAAAGCTCCTGTTTTCTATTGATACTGAGCCAATATGGTTAGTAGAAGAAGAAGTTTTCTTTCTTCTCTCTGCTTTGTGGTCTACTTGAGGGTGGGAGGCTGTTAGCAGTGTGATAGGAACTAACAGCATTACATGCTACAAAAAGCAATTGCCTGGGCAATTTTCCTAAGCCAGAGCCAAAGCAAAGCAAATGGAATACTCCCCCTCACCTCCGTGTCGGCCACATGAGAGTGGGGCTACACCGTGATATCCACAGGGCAAATTCCATGGCAGAATCTGGATTCTGTGGCCAATTGTATGGCTACATCGGTCTGCCGCAAGAATGGAATTTAAATATTGAATACTACGTACATTTTTTTTCTTTCCAGAGACCAACAAAAATAAAGAATTTTAACTACACAGGTGCATTTGCTTCATTTCATTGAAAGAAAACACCTTCTAGCCAAAGAAAGATACACAATTTTATTTGGAAACACTAGTATCATGTTGTGGTATTTTAATATGAAGTCCAATGTAACAGTCGCCAAAAATCCCAACTTAAAATCATTCAATCAGTGTTATACCCTTTAGCTGAAATAGGAACAAAGCATTCCCTAAGATCTGATCATTGAATGTTGAGTGTTTCTTCCCCCGCTTTAGAATGTTATTTATTTCTAAAAATTATCTCCTCACTTCTAGAGAGATAAGAGAAAAACGAAATGAAAAAGCTCAACTGCCAGCTAAGGCTTTTATAGATAACATTTAAAGCAACTGCGCTTCCCGTAGCCCATGCCTAAAAATATAACTGAATTGTACTCATTGAATTCTAAAGGTTCAAAGTACATATAACCATTATGCATTAAGAAAGTAACTACCTGCCCTTAACTTTCTTATTTTGCTTCTAGTTTTGGATAAAATTTTATTGTTTCAATTTCAATTTCAAAGCAACATAATCATGATAGCCATTTATTTTGGTTTTTAATATAAAATTAGCATTTTTATATCTTGAAATCATTCAGGTTTATTTTCTTCTATTTGAATTGTTTATATATAATACAAAAGCATAGGCTAGAGTTGACCAATGAGGTTAGTTAAAAGATTATATATTTTTTATTTTATGAAATTATAGAGTCTTAAAACCAGAAGATAATCTTAGTGATTATCTAATATAGCTCCACTCATTTTTTTTTAGATGAAAAAAACTTAGGTTCTGAGGAAATGAATGATTTACTTAGAATCACAAGGCTAGTACATGGCAAAGTTGATACTAGAATGCTTAGACTTTTCATCCTAAAATATTTTTGTTCTGCAAGCTCCCTAATGGAATAAAGAATGAAACAGAGTGCTAATCACGTAATAGGCAAGTGGGGGCCTAGGACAAATCAGGGAAAAGTGAAATAAAGGAAAAGTGCCTTAAAATGGTTGTTTTGGTCAGGGTTCCAACAGGAAATATACGACATGCTCAAATTGAAATAATTGGAAGAGAGTTTAATAAATGCACTACTTATCAAGGTAGGGCAGGGTATAAAGAAATCACAAGAGATATTGCTAGAGTCCAGGGCTAGAAATCACTAAGCTATTATTATTCCTAGGCCTAACCCAAAGAAGATAATAGGGTTTCTGAAAGCCAAAGAGAGGGCTCTGTAGAGAACTCTACTTTGACAAGCTTTCTGACTTTTGATCAAGACGCAGAGTTAACATGAGGTGATCCTACAGGGAAGGAGGCAGGGGAATGAACTCAATGACCTTTTTCCCCTTCCTCTGATCTCCTGTAGCAAACATCCTGCCTAAGCTCACCGGAGGTTAAAAGAACCTCTTGATACACAGATCAGTCTCCCTGAATAAGTAGCAGGGTGAAGGGCAAAGCATAGATCCTGTTAAAGAAAAAATTATTCAGGACATATTAAAGATGATAAGACCAACTTTATTCAAAGAGTTGGGGGAACATGGTGATAGGTATAGAGACCACTGCAATGAGATTTTGCATTGCGGGAAAGAGATTGGACTCGACTCCAAATACAGCATGGGCAAGTGGAATTTATAGTGAAAGAACTGGGTGGGGGTCATGGATGGAAAATTACTAAGAGGAAACATCAAGGTAAAGGTGGATTCTAGCTAAACCAACCTAGCAGGACTCTTGTTGAAAGTAGGTTAGGTCAATCAAACGTCACCTAAAGAATGGTGGAGGATGAAGAGCCTGATCAGATATTGAGGGTGATCCAAATATCAGGAACAGGGGGTTCTTATTAAACTGACTTAGCAAGGTTCTTGCTAAAACTGGATTTTAGAAAGAAGTAAACAGATAGACTGGTAGAAGGTTCAGAAGCTTTAAGAAACTTTAGTCACACAAAGAATTTTTTTCAATCTAAAGGAATAAATGAAGGCAGAGAGCGGTGATGTTTGGACAAAGGAAGAAATAGAACAAAAGTTCGAAGAGAAAAAGACATCAACTTAAGAATTAGGGGCAAATAAGTATTAACACAGCACAAGAGGAAGTACAACTCAGAATGATGGAGTTGTATGGATAATAATAGGTTATAAAGTCGTGTTTCTAGAAAGAGAGAAACAAAGAGTAAATGGAGAGGAAAAGGAAAGACTGAGGCTTAAAGAGGGAAGGTTGAAGGACTGAGGTGTTAAACAGATTAAAGTTTAAATTAAAAAGTACTATTTTCATGTAAACTTATTCCAATTGGGCCTGGGCTAGAGGAAGAGTTTTCTTGGACAGCACTGATCTAACATGTAACATATATATTGTATTAACCATATAAGCTGCTTGTGAATATTGAGGATTTTCTTATTACCGCAGTCTCTGAAATGTATTCACTTTTAATCTGAAATCCTTTTATTTTGCGGGGTTGGCACAGGAAAATTTTGCAGCATTTCCATTGGTGTTAAGTTATCTGACTTTCCCAACATTTCACTGTGTTTCTGTGTTGACTCTGTCTACTAGCAGCCCCACACCTTTCCTGGACAATTGTCTATGGGCTTCTTCCCCAAAACTATCTGTTACACATGGTGTGCACATTCTAAACCATCCCTCCTTCAACTTTTTTTTTTTCTGATATTGCTGTTGCTTGTTTCTAGCTACTTAAACATTCATTTCTTCCAAAGAGACCCTCAAGTTATATGCAAACCAAGAAAAGAAATATACCAAGTATGTGGAACTTGTCTCCCCCTATTATCAGAAAAGAATTGAATCTACTTCCATCTGCTAGAAGACTTCATGTATGTCTCAGCCCTTGTGTCATACCCAGCAGCCCTCCCTTTTCACCAGCAAGTATCAATTTCCAGATTTCTTTGCCAAAGCATTGACTTCTTTCACTAGGACATTAACGAAACTCCAAATGAAATAATTTCGTTTAAAACAATTTAGAATTATGCTATCATTTGCCTACAGTTCTTATATTCTTTGAAATTTCATTGATCCCTCTAAGCCTGAGCTCCTTAACCTAGAAAAAGTAAATAACAGCTTCTTTATCATAGGTTGCTAAAATCATACAAGATAATGCATGTAAAGTGCTGATCACAGTGCTGCAAATAATAAAAGCTCTTTAAATGTTAACTATTGTTATTATTGCTTTCTAAATGGCTGTCTGTGATGGGCTGATGATTTATTGTGAAAGATGGTAATGAAGCAAGCTAAGGGGTCAAGGCTGCTCTACCAAGGATGAAAATAAAAGAACAAAGCTGCCCCATTACAATCCCTTGGTATCAATGAGTAAGATATTCTCTAATGACAAGCTGGTCTTTTTCTCAGAAATGGAACATATTTATCTCCATAAATCAAATTAGCCAGTCTAGAATAAAGTTACATTTTTCAATGGTGACCTTACTTTTCTAGAATTTGTATTTAATGAATCATATTTGGGGGCATTTAATTTAATCTTGAACAAAAAACCTAATAAAAATATTGCAGAGCCTAGTTTTATAGGTATTTTTAAATACTTGAGAAATAGTTTTGCAAATGGATCACCAAAATGATGGCCTTGGAAAGCCTTCCTGTGCTATAAGCATACAATCTAGGTAAGAATATAGGTAAATTGTCTGAAGTGAAAAATATGATTCTGAGACTGAACTAGGATTGACAGAACCACAAAAAATAAGCCAAATTAAAACCACTATAGATTATGCATGAGATCATTAGGACATAGGGTTAAATAATTAAAGATGGCCCTTTAATTTTAAATTGGTTTGAATTTGAAAATATGCAGAAGCAATCTCACAAACACCTTGTACCCACCACTCAGATTTAATAAACATTTTAATATATTTTCTTTAGATAATTGTGAGAAGACATCAAAAAATGAAGGTTTGATCAAAGTCCTTTTTGAGCAACCTAATTGATTCTATTCCGTGCAATCATCCCCCTTACATTCTGGATATAATCACTGTTCTGAAGTTGAACTGCACACTTCCCATCCTTGTTTTTATACTCTTTATGTACAAATATATGGTATACTCTTTACGTGCAAATATATATGTGTGTGTCTACACATAGCATATATTATTTTATGTTTCCAAATTTGAAATAACAGGTAACATATTGTATAAATTCTTAAGAGATTGCCTTTTTCTCTCAACATTTTTGTATTGATTTTCTTTATTCATTGTGACTGCTGTATATAAACATATCCAATTTTAGTAATAGACATTTAGGTTGTTTCTAGGTTTTTACCATAAACAACAATGTAATATTGAATAGTTCTGCATATTTTCTTGTGCACATATGCAAGAGTTTTTCTGAAGTAAATCCTGAAGCACTTAGAATCAGAATGCTGGATCCTGGTCAATTTAAGTAGATATTGCCAAATTGCTCTCAAAACTTGCATCAATTTATACAACCACTACCAACATATAAGGGTTCCCTTTATTCTATATTCTCACAAGCACATGGTGCTGCCAGAATTTTCTAAATGTTCATTGTTTTGGTGAACATAAAATCAAATAACATTGTTTAGATTTTATTTAAAAGCCAAAGTTACAATAAATTTTCAAATAAATGTCTTCCAAGCAGTCAGTTACTGGGTTATGAATGTGATGTAGCTTGCCAAATTTCCATTTAACCCATTTTGTACCTATGTGGAATGTTATGATGTATGATATCTACAAGCTGCCAAAAGAATGGCAAAAAAAAAAAAAAGACATAGCAGATTGCCCCTCTTTCAAAAGCAAGGAAAGACAGTTCCCCCATCCCATTTTTCTCATGGCCAAAAGTAACCAAACACTCAAAAAGAGCTCACTTAATAAATCAGATTTTTAAGCTAATTTACACTTTCATAAATATTAGCTTCCTTGGAAATCCTTCTGTTTGCTTCTTCATTCTCTCCTGCTCTCCCACATATCCTTTTTTTCCCTGTGTTCTTCTTTTTTCCTTCTTAAGAAAAGCCCATTTAAATATACTCAGTTGCAAAGTTGGACTAGTTAGCTACTTAAGACATGGCAAAGATTATAACTTCCCACTGAGATTTTGCAAGTGAGTCTTTTTCATTAATAGAGCAGCAGGATTTGAGGATTTTATTAACTCTCCATTTAGAGCCTGATAATCCTAATAAACCTATCTTTCTCCTAAAAGACTTGCTTTATCTACTCATTCATATTTCCATGGTAGTAGCAGCACAACTTGTTCCGAATTAAATTTTCTGCAAGGGGTATCTTAGCTTCTAAGGTTAGTCCCTAGAAGGTAAGTTTTTGTTTTATAATTTAATGAAAATTTCTATAAGATACCATACACTTGCTGCATGAACTGAAGACTATTAACTAACAGGCTTCTGTTTCATTGTTATTGTTGCTATTCAAATAATCATAGGTTATGTATGCATATGGTCATAATTTTATCTAAATAATGATAGTTCCCCAGAGTTAATCTTATTTTGAAAATTATAAAGAAGACATAAGATCTTGTGAAATTATCAGAATTAATTCTTTAAGTAAGCAGTCTATATTATTATTCATTTTATAAGGCCTTATATTTGACTTTTGTGAATTATGTTTTAATGACTGCTCAAAAAACAAAGAACAATAGTCTTAAATGCTTTGCCTAATATTTGAAGACAAATTATATACTGCTCAATAACATATGATAACTTCATATCATTTTTTGTCATAAAAAATTGCATGTATTTCAAGGCCTTAACCTAAATAACCTAACTCAACCTATTTATACTAATTCATCTTCTGTTATTCTTCTACACACACCCTACATCTCAGTCAAATTTCTTACTGATTCCTTAACTTCTATTCATCACATTGTTCCATGCTTTTCTCCCTCTGCATCATGAACCATACTATCTTTATATGAACACTTTTACATTAGTTTCTTGTTGCTTATATAACAATGTGCCACAAATTTAGTGTCTTAGGATAACACAAATTTATTATCTTCCATTTTTGTAGGCTAGAAGTCTAACACAGGTTTCACTGGGCTAAAATCAACGTGTATTTAGAGCTGTGCTCCTTTTTCAGCTTCTAAGGGCCACCTATAATTCCTAGTTTGTGGTTCCATTCTGTCATCGTCAAAGCCTTCAATGTTACAGCTTGCTGACCATTCTTCCGTAGTCATATCTCCCTGTCTCTTACCACACTAGAAAATGATCTCCAATTTTAAAGACCTATACAATTAGATTAGGTCCACTATGATAATCCATGATAATCTTATCTCAAGGTTCTTAATGTAATCACACCTGCAAAGTTCCTTTTGCCATGTATGATAATATACTCATGGGTTTGAGAAATTAGCACATGGAAACCTTTGCGGGCCATGATTCTGCCTACCACCCCTTTCTCCTGTTCCTCCCACCTACCAAAATTTCCCGCAGCATTAGATTATGTAGTGGGTGGCTCAAACTAAAAAGGATCATTCAGCTCAACCTTCCATTTTAGAAGTAAGGCCACCAGTCTCATTACTGGCAGGGAGTCAATTCTTGGCAAATATTTGTTAAATACTGAATGAAATAACTTGCCCTTCTCTGCCTGGCTCAGAAACTAACATTTCTCTGAAGTCTTAATTATGCCATCTTGAATAGATTTCTCACTCAAGACTTCTCTAGTATTTATTTACCTTGCCACTAATATGTAATCTACGATTTGTTTTAAACAAGGACAGATGTTACTTTTCTACTCTCAAATATCATACTCATTATATGCTTCATTTTATGATGCTTCTATTACGTGATATTCATTATATGATAATGTTTTATACTTTTTGCTTTTTGATTCCTCAAGTATTCATTCTATTGTGCATTGTCTGTAATTTCTGTGCCATATTTTACTAATCTGGGTCAGTTCTATGCCTCAAGGCAAGATTCAGGTTCCCCGGTTCATTTTTCTTTCTGAACTCGCCTTTGTAATTCGCTTCACTGGAAAACACATGAGGTTAGGAAACCTCATTTAGGGGCAGGTTTTCCATCTCTCCTTTCTTGTTCAGCTTCGCTAATTGTAGTTGGAGTGGCAGCTCAGTTGGATTAGCACCCTGGGGCTCGCTGTCTTTAGTTTGCGGAGGAAGAAGTAGGAAGCCGTACTCCAGTCTCAGGCCTGTGTGCCTGCCATATTTCTGCCAGGAAGAATCAGTTTTATTTATCACTTCCTGCCCAATGTCCAGCACCTTACCAGCATATAGTAAGCACTTAATAAACATTTATCAAATGAATAAATGTAAGGATGAATGAAAGATTGACATAAAAGTTAAACTCTTATTGGTCTGTATTTTTGAGTCTGACCTTTGGATGCAGGAGCAGAGTGAGTGAGGCGTTTGGCTACCCTAGTTCTTTTCAACTGATCCTGGATAATCACTTCTAAATATTTCTTATATTGGTGACATATATATTTTTTAGAAGGTAGATGATGTATTTTTTAAATGTTTAAGTCAATAAATTGTATTCAAAATGTTAACAATAAAGCCTCAGACAACCATTTTGCTCTAAGAATGAAATAATAAAATCTTTCGTAATAGAATTCACAATAACATAATATTTGCAAATGAATTCCAAAATGCTTTCAGTCTTTATGCTATTGTTGAGGAATGCATCCCTCAAAAATGGCCTCATTAAAAAACACCACCTATATCAATGTTCATGTCCTATTAAGTTAATATTTTATTAAAATTATATCTTTTTGTTTGTCTTTATTCTCTGACAGACCTCCTTATGTGCATCTGATTCATCTTTGTATCCTTAAACCCAAGATAGTTACTATTTCTATAAAAAATCATTTATGAATAAGTGAGTGGATATTTTGTTTAATATTGTTTCTTCCTCAGATATCTATTGAGCATTAATATGTGCAAGAGACTGTGAAAGCTACACAAATTTTAGCACTGAGCAAGACATAAATATTCCCTGCCATCAAAGTGTAAGAATGAAAAACAGCTACAAATAATGAATTATCTGTCTCCCTATATAAGGCTCCTGTTGAAGATAAATCAAGATGTCTTTATAGTATCTCAAGACTTCATGGCCAGAATAGCTTTCAACTTGTAATTGTTAAATAAAGCCTCCTGACTTTCATATCTGACATCTATGCTTTCTCTTCACAGTCAAGATGGGACCTTTCTCTATTTCTAAAAATAAGCCCAGCAGAGTGGAAAGAGTTTCATTAGTTAAGATGGAACATATACTTTGGTATATACAGCATTTAAGAATTTTTAAGTATATACGCACCCAATTTATTTTAGGATTAATTTATCTAACTGGTGTGTGGATTTAAATGATTTTTGTTAATTACAAAGTTTTTGCGTTCATATTAGTGGGGTCCTTCAGCATTAATATTCTTTATAATTTAAGAGTTCAAGGGCAGAGAGAAAGTATATTTTTCTTTCTTGTTCACATGATAAAACAGAAGCATGGAATTTTTAAGTATCTTATTCTAAGTCATATAATGAGTCTTGATTAAAATCACTGCTAGAAATCAAAGCTTTTTGTTCAATGGGTTCAACAATGGGCCATTCATCTTCCATAGACATTTTGCATAAGTAATAGCAGCTCAAGTTTAAGAACAATTCCAGTGGCCATAACATCTATATTCATTCTACATTAGGGCATTTAATTTTCTGTTTATGAATTCAGCATATTTCTCTGAGTTGGACGTAGTTCAATGTTTTATTATAGGAAATCATATTTTTTCCTGTAGGTTGTCAGGAAACAGTTCCCCAATTTTACTTAGTTAGAACAATGGTTCCTATCCAAAAAGCTGCTATAAGTAATGAAAATGAAATCAATTTACTGGCTCAGCTCCCAGATTAAGGATTGCTTTATGAATAAATAAAATAGTAGATGGCACCTAGAAGGGGAATGAACAATTTATGTATTATCAGGACACTTCTTACTGTTCACTTTTAGTAAAATGAAACACTTACTATTTGGACTTAAAATGCCTCAAACTGTGATGTTATTTTGAAAAAAAAAAGAGATAGGAGATATCCTAGTAATAACAATAAATAATTTAAAGGCTGATTTTGCACAATAATATTATATATGCTAAACAATTTTAATATTTTATGAATATAAATACTATAACACATCACCCCTATTTCATTTTCAATTTTTCTTCCTCAGTCTATTAAA
Source organism: Homo sapiens (assembly GCF_000001405.40). Classification (NCBI taxonomy): domain Eukaryota; kingdom Metazoa; phylum Chordata; class Mammalia; order Primates; family Hominidae; genus Homo; species Homo sapiens. The sequence goes on along the minus strand of NC_000003.12, from coordinate 88,397,607 downwards.
TTAAGGCAAACTCTTTCATATTTTATATCTTTCTAGTGATACACTACAAAGTAAATATGACTGCTCAGATGCTTGTTCAATAAATCTCTGTTATTTGTCAATTTTGTAGTGTTACATGAGGGATTATCAGCATTGTGACAAATTATTCTCTATCATTATTCTTGTTAATAATAGTAATTTTATAGAACTTGACAAAACTAATAAAAGATGAATAATGTTACAAGTGCAGCATCTCAAGTATACTATTGTAAAGGTAGCACAAACATAAGAAATCAAAGTAGAAAACTGACAAAACTGGAAACTTCAGGAGGAAAAGACAAGATGCACAGGATAGTCTTGACATACTTCTAGCTGAAATACACTTGAAGTAGAAAGAGGAAGAACAAGAATTGAGAGTGGCCCTTTCTCCCTTTCTGTAATTCTCACTAAAATCATTGTATCTTCACCTAAGATTTCACCTGACAGCTATTTCCTATTGGGCGGTAAATGTTTATCTTCTACTCAGACCTATTTACTGAGCACCAAGCACACTTATCATATATCTATTTCACATGCCCTCTTGTTTTTCTTAAAAATATCACTGTCATACGTTTGGCACACTGACGCCATCCCTCAACTCCTCCCTTTTCCTTACCTGCCATATTCAAGCTATCACTAACTCTGTTAGTATTTTTTCTCTAAATTACCTCCTGAATATATCCAATTCTTTCCATTTCCAATTCACCATGCTAGTTCAAGCCACCACTTTGGACTATTGCTGTACCCGCTTAACTGTCCTCTCTAATTCAACTATGGCTTTACTCCAATCCACTCTTCACATGGCAGCCATACTGATCTTTTTAAAATGTAACTATTATAATCTTATGCTCCTGCATAAAGCCATTTAGAATAGAGATTTGGCTTCAAGATCATTATCTAGCCACTAAGGTATCTCTCCTGCAAAATCTAACATTGCGCTTCTCCTCGCTCTCTCCTAACTACCATGATCATCTCTCAGAACCATAACCTCACTGTGTTTCCTCCCACCACAGGTCGTTTCTCATGTTCCTTGTTGTGGATAGAATGTGCTTCACTCCTCGCTAACCTAGTCAATGCTTGTTCCGGCTTCAGACTTCAACACCTTGCATTTTCACAGGAAAACTTTCTGTACTCTCCTCCTAAGGTCAAGTTACTTGATTATATCCCTTAAAGAAGTAGGTAGTCGGCCGGGCGCGGTGGCTCACGCCTGTAATCCCAGCACTTTGGGAGGCCGAGGCGGGCGGATCACGAGGTCAGGAGATCGAGACCATCCTGGCTAACACGGTGAAACCCCGTCTCTACTAAAAATACAAAAAATTAGCCGGGCGAGGTGGCGGGCGCCTGTAGTCCCAGCTACTCGGGAGGCTGAGGCAGGAGAATGGCGTGAACCCCAGGGGGCGGAGCCTGCAGTGAGCCGAGATTGCGCCACTGCACTCCAGCCTGGGCGACAGCGAGACTCCGTCTCAAAAAAAAAAAAAAAAAAAAGAAGTAGGTAGTCCTCTTTTATTGCACTTAATATGTGACTCTTTTATCAATGTCTGTTTCTTCTCCTAGATCGTAAACTCATAGTCAGAGAAGGCCTATGATTTTACTAATCATGGTAACTCCAGGATAAAACAAGCAACTACATACAGCAGATACTCAAAAAATATTAGTTCAATATAGCCACCAATTAAAGTAATTAATTGTAATAAATGATTATAAAATAAAAATTGTAAACAATACTGTCTTGAATAACATAAAAATGTGAAACAGGAGTATACTTAACAAAATATGAAAGACATGTACATTGAAAACTCAAAGAAAATTTATGAGACAAAAAGAAATAAATAATTCGAGCTATACACCATTTCAGTTTATTGGTAGACTCAGTATTGTTAAAATGTTGATTCTTCCCAAATTTTTCTGCAGTTTCAGTTCAATCCCAATTACAATTCCAGCAAGCTTTTCTTTGTAGAAATGTATAAGCTGATTTTATCATTAATATAAAAATGCAAAAGATTTTAAATAGCTGAAATAATTTTGAAAAAGAAAAAGCAAATTTATGTTATCTGAAAGTGTATCTAGAACACTGGCTGAGAAGAGAGAGTTCTAAATTAGATGTACAGGTAAGATCAGTTTATGTTCACAAATGTAGTAAGGTCATTAAACAAAATGAAAGATAATGTTTTCACCAAATGGTGTTGGAGTAACTGGAAATCATTACAGAAAACACTAAATTTGACCCTTATTTCATATCATTCTCAAAAATTACCTGAAATGGATCATAGAATTAAGTGTAATGCTAACACTATAAACTTTTAGAAAAAAAGGAGAAATTTTTCATGATTATTGGATAAACAAAGATGTCTTAGGAAACACCATAAAAATTGATAATTGGAATTCATAAAAATCTAAAACTTCTACTCTTCAAATTACACCATTAACAAAAACTAGGAGAAAATTTTACATGTATGTGTATATACGTCTGCATATGAGTATGAGTGTGTATACTTAAACACACATGCACACAAATGAGCACATATGCGTAAACAGAACAAAGGACTTTTTTAACTTTTATTTTAGGTTTGAGGGTACATTTGAAGGTTTACTATATAGGTAAACATGTGTCACCGGGGTTTGTAGTTTGTAGATTATCACCCAGATGTTAAGCCCAGTACTCAATTGCAGTCTTTGCTGCTCCTCTCCCTCCTCCCACCCTCTCCTCTCTCAAGTAGACCCCAGTGTCTGTTGTTTCCTTTTAGAACAAAGGGCTTGTATCCAGAATATATAAACAACAACTACAACTCAATAAGAAAATAATCCAATCAACACTCCAGACAAAGGACTTAAAGTTTTCACGAAAGGCAAATATATAGTCAATAAATGGGTGAAGCAGTGCACAATATCATTAGCCATCTTAGAAATGCAAATTAAGGCTGTGTGTGCTGGCTCAGGCCTGTAATCCCAGTGCTTTGGGAGGCCAAGGTGGGTGGATCACCTAAGGTCAAGAGTTCGAGACCAGCCTAGCCAAAATGGTGAAACCCCGTTTCTACTAAAAAATATAAAAATTCGCTGGCCGTGGTGGCGGATGCCTGTAATCCCAGCTACTCGGGAGGCTGAGGCAGGATAATCACTTGAACCCAGGAGGCAGAGGTTGCAGTGAACTGAGATCATGCCATTGCACTCCAGTCTGGGCAACAAGAGCAAAACTGCATCTCAAAAAACAAAAATTTTTTAGAAAAGAAATGCAAATTAAAACTGAGACACCCCCATCCATTGCTAAAACTTAAAAACACCAAATATTGGTGATGATATGGATAAAATTAAACTTTCATAAATGTATTTAGTAATGGAATATGGTACATTCACTTTGGAAAATAGCTTAGCAGTTTGCTACAAAGGTGAACATACACATATCATTATATGTACCCAATATCCCAGATAAATAAGTGTCTGCACTTGTCTTTATACACAGTTTATGTTGTTAAATTTTTACTGAATGCTCTCTACACCTTCTAACTTTAAATGTAAACTACTTATCTACTGAGAACACCATATCCCTCACATTTCTCTCAAGCAAAGGCCACACATTGCCCCTCACACCACACGAAATTATGTAGAATTGGGTCTTTGTCATCATTGTCCCCTAGCGCTGCTTTCAGACCATTACCCTTGCTCATCTGTGGCCTGTCATTTCAGCTCTCCAACCCTCCTCATCCTCTGTACTATCTGCCAGTCTCTTGGTCATTTTTTCTTATTCACTAATAACCTTGGCACCCAGACCACATTGTTCCTTTCTGGTCAAACTGCACTATCAGCTTTAAATTCTACATTTTGAATTTTACATCTCAAATTCTACGTCTCCAGTGACATTCTCCACCATTTTATTTTAACTACACACTTGTCTAACCATAAAGTAAACGAAGCAATCACATAAAACTTGCTTCAGAAATTTCACTGTTTGACCACAATCTCCTAAAATTCTGTATATGTCACTCTGCTATTGCACTTACACTTTGTCTTTAAAATATTGTTGAATCTATGGCACCATTACCCTAAGTACATAAATATGTGTATGTGTATGTACACATCCATTTATCTATATCGATCCACTCTGTCTATATTATTTATTTATATCAACTTCACGTCTGTTTATATTCCCCCATTTTGATTCAACAAATTATCTACTACTCTCCTTCCATTCCTAAAATTACTTTTCCCATGCACACATGCCAAATCCCTATCTCTAGGTGAATACACTAAGCACTTTCTCCGTACTTATAGTCTAGGTTGAGAAATATCTAACTATTACACAAGTTGACATCAAAAAATGTAACAGTCTTCAGTTGGGCAGTTTTAAAATATCTCAAGACTGAGTAAGTTTACCTGAAATGCTTTCTTCCATATTCCACATAATGACTATATCAAACCTTCTCTTACCTGCTTAAACTTAAATCCTTCAACTTACCTCACACTATCTGCAGATATATGAGAAATGTCCTTCGATTGTCACTACAGAAGATATCATGTCACATACAGCTATACCCATTCTTCCTCCTTTCCTCCTGATACAAAGGGCAAAATCCCTTTTATCCCTTTCAAGGCCAATCCTCCCCTTTATTCTCCAGATAGATTCCAGTTGTTTCACCCTTCCCTAAACCTTGTGCTATTAATTATCTATCTCTCAACTAACACAACTGCATTTTTAACCTCCATCCCACCTGCTTTAAAGTGTGTTCATATTGCCCTATTTTAATAAAATTAAATAAAACAAAAGCATCTGTCCTCAACCCAATAGCCCAGTTAACTATCCTATTTCTCTTCTCTCCACCCAAACTTACGTAATGTGTTTATTGCTCTTTTTTCCAGTCCATCACATTTTTTATTTCCAGTTTATTCCAACCTTGTTTCAACTTACATAAATACAGGGAAACTGCTTTTATCAAAGTCACTAATGTCTTACCCACTCCAAAATTCAATTGCAATGTGTTTATTGTACCTTACTTTAATTTTTGAAAGAATTTGAACTGCTGGCTGCTTCCTCCTTTTTGGAACTCTCTCTTTACTAAATTTTCATGTCACATATTCTCTTAGCTTTTTGACTATTTCTCTGGCCATTCCTTCTTAGTTTTCTTTGCTTGTTCTTTCTTTTCCATCAATGAATTTCTCAACTTTTCTCCTACATCTCCTTGTCTTCTCTAGCTATTCTCTATCCCTATAGATATCTAATTCCTTTCATTGGGCTTTAATAGCTATTTCGGGGTGTGTAAAAATTTACCTACATCCAGACCACATATATCTCCTGAATTCTCTCCTGAATTCTGAACCACATATCCAACTGCCTACTTGATTCTAACACATTCACAAATTCCAGTTGGAAACAATATGTATTATCTTTTATGCTTCAGTTTGCCCTGTACTACCTACTCCTTTTCTGTGTTTTCTATTTGTTAAAATGGCACCCCAGCCTCTGGTGATCCATCCAGAAATCTGGGGCATGTTCCTAGCTATTCCCTGGTTTTCACTCCTTCTCACATCCAACTAACTACAAATTCTTTTGATTCTACATCCTAAAGTTCTTGGTTCTACCTATTTTCTTCCATTAAAGCGCTCATCAATGCACCGTCATTTCTTTAACAAACTTCTGCAATCACCTCCTCACTATTCTCACTGCAACCACTCAGCTGCCTTCCTCCACCTCATTATCTAATTTCAGAGTCATCTTTCCTGAAATGCATATATGATCATGTTACTCTTGCCATAAATTATTACAATGACTTCCCAAGCTATGATCTCCAACAAGGCTTACCAGATTGTACACAGTCTCATGACTTTCTACCTCTACAACATCAAATGCAGTTAGTTCCCCTTTACTGCTTCCACTCCAAAGATGATGAGTTTATTAGTTTCTCAAACAAATTATTATTTTTCTTGCCTCTGGTTCTTGGCCCCTGCTGTACCTTCTGCCTAGAGTATGTTTTCTTTTTTCACTCTTCATCTGGCTATGACCATAATCATGAAGTTATATCTTAAATATAACTTTAAGAACAACAAAGGATGAAACAAAATAACTATTGCAGCTTAGATTTGCCTTGGTATATACACGTTTAGAAACTTATTTCACTTTGCAGGTTTGCATTTCCTTTTGAAATATTCTAACTACTTTTATGTTTTCTATTGTAATATCTATGAATAAAGGTATTATGTCCATTTAGGTTGCAGCTATATGCCTAATACCCAGCACGTTGTGTAGCACAGAGTAGGTTGTTAATATTTGTTGCAGGAATAAATGAGTAAACAGTATAATTCAACAGTGCAAAAAAACCAAAAATAATAGTTTGAAAAACTATCCTCAAGAATGGCAAAAGCTAACATTTTTAGTTCTTATCATGAATTAGGTATTAATATCAGGGTATCTACAAATCTCTATATCTATATGTACATATCTACACATCACAGAAATAGACATAAACATAGGCTCTTCACTTAGTCTTTGCAGCTGCCTATTAAGTATTATTGTCCTCATTTTGCCTAAGCAGAAACTGAGCATACAAAGACTAAGTAATTTGCCCCAATCACACTGCTAGAAAATAGCTGAAAGTGACCACAGGGAAGTTTGATTCTAGAACACAAATTCTTAATCATATGGGAAGATTTCCTTTTAAATAAGCGCCAATGTTTTTAATTTTTATCTTTTAGGTAGGATCTATAAAATAAAATAATTGTATTAATACCATCATAAATATAGTCATCAGATTTCTTCAGTATACTACATATGCAACACTAACAAAAGCAAAATACATGATGCAGAAACCTAAATTTTCCAAGACCTTAAAATAATACATGGCAAAAATATTTGGATACTTATATTGCTGCACTAATTATTTCAGACTGCTCAAGAACTCCTCAGTTAATACTCCATGAAATAAGTGCAACCTTCACACCTAATAGAATTAATGTACCTACAAAGCATACAACTTTTAATCAGAGAATTAGAGTGAAATTAAGAAATGCCCACTCGATTTAGTTATTTATTCTTTTGCTATATTTTTTCTCATCAAATATTTGTGCCTGGTACATCCCTCAGAGAAGACCTCTCATTGGATGTGACGTTGAGTTATCGGCTTAATGAGGTATGACAAAGCTTCATGACTAACTCTTTTGTTTCCTATACATGCCATCATTTTCTCAACAGTTCCAGGTCAGTGTCACTATGCCAGAGAATGTTCCAGCAGTACCTTTATCCTGGGTTGGATAGAGCTTTTATCTTTAAAATCTCATGACCTGATGTTTAACCTTTACCAAAATGCTTAATGCTTAATCCAAAAAAGCTACATGGACGGTTTTCTGTAAGGGAGACTTTTGGTCTGTTTGCCAGCCTCATTTGATTCCATTCAAGTGTATCAGGTCTATTGTAACAATTTTGAGCTTATCCTTATCCAAATTTATCACACCATCCTCCACAGACACAAACCACCCTCCTCCCCAAGAAGCTTTTCAAGCTTCTAGTGTCCATGGCATAGATGAAGGGGCTCTAAAGTCCCGTCCACCTTCAGAGCTAAGCCTATTCTCTGATTCTGACGAGCCGTTTTTACATTCTGTTCTCCAGACCATTGTGAGGGTACTTGTTTCACACAAGCTATTCTGGTGATTTTCTTGGAAGAAAGGAAGTATACTAACATGGTTTCTTTCCAATGAACAGAACCCAGCCATTACTTTTATAGAACACTTGTGCTGCTTAGGAGAAAAAAAATGCCTCCCCAATTAAAAAAAAAAAAAAAGTACAGGGTTTTTAGTCTCTTTACTTCCACCACCATGCACTCCAATGTGTATTTTTGTAATACATTGCCACTGTTGGCTCTGTCCTTAAAATACATTCAGAATCCAACCTCTCCTTACCATCTTTGCCCCCAATACACTAGTGCAAGCCACGAGAAGCTCCAACCTGGATTATTTCATCTATGCCAACTGTACTCCTTGCTTCTACCCTGAACCTCCATGCAGTCTATTCTCAGCAGAGTGTCTTTTTTAAAACTATGTCAGATATTCTTATTTCTCTGCTTACTCATTTCCTATATCAACAAGGAGAAAAGCCAGCATCCTTACGATGGCCTATAAGTCCCTCCATGAGCTGGCACCCCTGAAGTCTCCAACCTCATTTTCCTCTGCTCTCATCCTGCCTCACTTCTCTCCATCCACATCAGCTTTCCAGCGGTTCCTCAAGCACAGCCAGACAAGGTCCAGCCTTAGGGCTTTTACACCTGCTGCTCCTTCTTCCAGGGATAATCTTCCTCCTGATGAAGCATTGTAATACCTCATCAAGCCAATAACTAACGTCCTCATTTTCTCACATTGGCAGAGTTTTTTTTTTTAAATTAAATGTTACTGTCTCATTGAGCTCCTTCCTGAACCCCCTATTTTAAATTGTAGCTTTACCCAATTACTCCTAATTTTCCTATTTGGTGCTCTCTTATTGTTCTATGGAACACTAATTATCATCTAATATAGTTATATAACTTATTTATTTCATTGTGTATCTCCTCGCAGTAAAATATAAGCAAATGAGGGCACGGCTTTTGGGTGGTTTGGGGTTTACGGTTTTTGTGGAGGTTTTTGGTCTGCTGGTTCATTGTTATATCCTCATTTTCTAAAGCAGCACAAAGGAGACAATAGATAATTACTGAATATTTGTTAAATGAATGAGTCAATTGGTGCTATTATTTGGTATTAAACCAAGCAGAAGGTGGAAATAATCTAATATAGACAGTAGCTATAACTTCCATGGAAGACCTCATTGTGGCTAAACAGGCAGCCTTAATTCGACAGATGTTCAAATAACCAAAAATTGAAGCAGACAGCTTGACTAACTAGGAAATGTTTGTATCTATACAGGGATATGAAGGTTTTCCAGAACAGCAAAGGGAGGATGAATAAGATGGCAAAGAACTGGACAGCCAATCTTATATCTGACTACTGTTAATAAACCAACTTTTTTCACTTCCTGACTTGGATGCATTTATATTCTCTATCCTAACATTGAATTACAGACTTGCATTTAATTAGATAATAGATTCTGTACATTTGCACTTCCTGTAAAATAAAAAACCCTCATTTTGACCTTTTTAATTGACTTAATCTGCCAAGATTCTGACCAAAGACTGTAACATTTTGACACTACATTTTGCAAAAAAGCTTTTATATATTGAAGCTTGATCAAATTGAATAATATATGTGCAGAAACTGGAAATATGTACTTTGCTCAATATAGTCTAATTAACATAATTGGCCTAGCACCAAAAATGACTAGAAGAGTTATATATTTTTACAGGTATTAAACAGACCACTGTTTCATGTAAGACAATAATAGTATGTGAGTGTTTTTGTGTGTATGATTTAATCATAAATTTATATGAAACATAGTAATCAGCAAAGACGTCATGGAATTGTTAGAAACTAAAATAGAAATGACAACAGAGGAAGTCAAATAATAGAACTGCCATCAGAAAGAAAAAATAAAGAGTTCTGTGCACAAAGAAGCAGGAAAGACTTAATTAAGCAGCCAAATTTGGGGAAACACTATGGGAAAGGAGGATTATAATAATGTTTATTTCCCAGCACTTTGGGAGGCTGAGGCAGGAGGATCATTTGAGGCCAAGAGTTAGAAATCAACCTGGGCAACACAGCAAGACCACGTCTCTACAGACAAATTTTTAAAATTAGTTGGGTGTGGTGTCATGAACCTGTAGTCCTGGCTATTAGGAGGCTGAGACAGAAGGATCCCTTGGGCTCAGGAGTTCAAGGCTGCAGTGAGCTGTGATCATGCCGCTGCACTCTAGCCTGGGCAAAAGAGCAAGATTCTATCTTTAAATAATAATTGTATGTTTACAGTTTATCTGGAAACATATTATTTTTGATATATGCTAGAAATATACTTAAAATATTTTTAAAGGCAGTTCCAGGTGGAAGAAAAGGAAAAGAAATAAAATTCACATACCAATACCATTCCATAGATTATTATGGTAATGATGAGCTACATACAAAATTGTAACACACTACCATAAAAAATATGGTATAAAAGTTAAAGGCAATCATGCAAGCACATAACTGTAAGGAAGATAGATTAGTAAAAACATGTGTTTGGCCGGGCACAGTAGCTCATGCCTGTAATCCCAGCATTTTGGGAGTCTGAGGTGGGTGGATCACGAGGTCAAGAGACAGAGACCATCCGGGCCAACATGGTGAAACCCCATCTCTACGAAAAATACAAAAATTAGCTGGGTGTGGTGGCACATGCCTGTAATCCCAGTAATCTTAGCTACTCGGGGGGCTGAGGCAGGAGAATCACTTGAACCCAGGAGGCGGAGGCTGCAATGAGCCAAGATCCTGAAACTGCACTCCAGCCTGGTGACAGAGCAAGACTGCATCTCAAAAAAAAAAAAAAAAAGCATGTGTTTGCAGTCAGGTATATTTAAAGGATAGTGGTTGTTGCAATGCTGAAATTAACAACAAAAGTATAAAATGACTAGATTGAGAATAGAGTCCATGTTTCCTATTCACTTTCATCTTCATGTTTCCTGTTGACTTGTATCTCCATGTGACTTGTCATCCACTGTTTATTGGTGGAAGATTTCACTTTTGTTTCACTGCATTTCCATCCCAGATCTCCCATCCATCTCAATGCATGACTTTATTAGTGGTGACATCTTTATTCATGTGAATTGCCCATCTAACAACTGATCTCTCAGCTCCTTGACTTCCTCACTTATGACCATCTTTTTCTTCTTCCCCATATCAGCTACCCACTTACGTTGTCAAACTCTGGTCTTTGTCATTACCAATAACTATACTGTATTAAAACTCTCCATTTAACATTTCGTTCACTAACCACCACATGTTTTTCTTCCATTCCACTATCAGTTGTATCCCCCCAATAACATCCAACATGCGTACGATTAACCCCACCAATTTGCCTCAATTCTGGTACTCTGTTCTTCCCCACTTTCTATATTTACACTCTGCTTTCCTAATTTAGAGAACAAGTTTGATCATTATAGTCACTCCCTGAAAATGGCCTCAATTATTTTGTTGTCTCTCTGGCATACTTTCCTGACCAAACCTCAAAGCTGGCTTAACCAAATCATCTGCTTTCTCCGTGGTTTCTTTATGAGAAATTGAGTATTGCGGCTGGGTACGCTGGCTCACGCCGGTAATCCCAGCATTTTGAGAGGCCGAGGCAGGTGGATCACCTGAGGTCAGGTGTTTGAGACTGGCCCGGCCAACATGGTGAAACCCTGTCTCTACTAAAAATACAAAAAATTAGCTGGGCATGGTGGCGGGTGCCTGTAATCCCAGCAACTTGGGAGACTGAGGCGGGAGAATCGCTTGAACCTGGGAGATGGAGGTTGCAGTAAACCGAGATCACGCCATTGCAGTCCAGCCTGGGCAATAAGAGTGAAACTCCATCTCAAAAAAAGAAAAAAAAAATAGCATAGAAAAGAAATTGAGTATTACTGCAAAAATATTTCACAAATGGACTGCCATATTTCTCAGTTTTACATCTCCCAAATGAATCAATTTTCTTACTCTGGCTTATATTTCACATATTTTCCACTATCTTCAAACAAACCCAAATGACCTCAGACTTGCAGAGTCTTCATGTTTCTTGTTCACTTTCACCTTCCTGTTTCCTATTGACTTTTATATTTATGTGACTTCTCACCCATTGTTTTTTGAGAAAGTAGAAGCTATAAAAGATAATTCCCTCATCCTTTCACCTTCAAGTCTTAAAAAAATCACCTTATAAATTCATCTTGTATTTTTCCTGCTAGAATGGAATAGACATTCCATGACTCTCTAAAGGTAAGTCAGCTAAAGCCACAGATTTCAACGGCTCTCATCTTCTTGAGGATTTCATTCCATCAGCTGCATTTCCCTTGCTTGCTTTACCAATTTCTCCCTTTCTTTTTATTTTTTCCCAATAAACCTATAAATATGTTCTAGTAGTATCTATTTAAAAATAAACATTTTTGAACCTACATTATCTTCCAGGTACTATCTCATTTCAAATCATTTAGAAAAGAAGAAAAACAAAAAAAAAGTTATTTCATAGTTGTTTACTACTGTCATCTTCAGTTTCACTTACTCCAACTACTCTTCTACTTCTTCCAATCTGGTTTCCACCTGCCCAGCATAACTTACATTCCTCATTTCAAGGTCACAAAAGACCTAAATGTTTGCAAAATTCAATTGAATCTCTTTGTTTTATTCTTACATAATGACTCAGCAGCATTAGCTCACCACACCTCCTTCCTGAAACCCTCTCCTCTCTCACCTTCCATATCACTACACACGCCCAGTTTTCCTCCCGCCTCACCGCTCTTTCATTTTCAGTCTCCTTTGCTAACTATTCGGCCTGCGACCAATGTGAAGTTACTGGATTGCATCAGGATTCTACCTTGAGTCACTTTTTCTCTTTGTCTTATACTCTCTCCCAAGGTGATTTAATGCTATGGAATATCTTTATGCTATTTCCAAATCTTCATCTCCATCTAACATCTTTCCCCAGTTCTAAACTTCTATATCTAACTGCCCACTTCATATCTCCAACTTGGATGTCTTAGGTTAGTTTCCTCCAACATATGTCATCTCAAAAATAATTTTTGATCCCTCTTCTCATGTCTCCCCAATCTTTGTCATCTCAGAAATTGACAAACTATTTTCTCATTTCCTTCATTTCCCTCACTGCCTTCAACCAGTCTATTGTGCTGCTGTTTCAATTCTACCCCCAAATATATACCAATCTGCCCACTTCTCTTGTTTCTATTATCTCTGTCTTAGTTAAGCTATCAACATCTTCCACCTGAAAAATAGCATGTCTCTATCTTGACTCCCTCCTTCCATTCTTCTCTCACTCTAGGCCATTTTCTATAGCCACAAAAATTGTTCACTTTTAAAACATAAGTTGAGTAATATCACTTCCTTGTATGAAGTGGTTTCAGGAGTCCCTATTGCTCTTTGGGGAAAAATGGCTCCTACCAGGATCTTTTCATACCGTAATGCACCACTCTTCCCTTCTATTGCATGTCACTATACAACAGCCGCACCAGCTTCCTTTTTTCTCCTCACTCCTGCCATGTTCTTTCCAGCCTCAGAGCCTTTTACTTGCATCCCCATGGCTGGCAAGTCTCTTTCGCTGGCTCTTCAGATGGCTAGTGTTTTTTGTTTTTTTGTTTTTTTTTTAATTTTGGGTTTCAGAAAAAGAAAGGAGAGAGAGAGAGGGAGAAAGAAAGTCAGTCAGTCCCTTACCACCCAATCAAAAAGTGGCCCTTTTCTACTTTCAGTAATTCTAGATGCATATACTCTTTCTTTCTTAGCATTTTTCACAATGTTTATCTTGTTTTATGTATTTGTTTCCGGGTTTGCTGTGCAAAGTAATTTTCATGGGGGCAGGGACTTATCTATCTTATTTACCATAGTATACCCTATCCAAAGTAGATCCTACACAAGGTAGCCACTCTGGAAAATGTTTCTGTGCAAAATTTATTAATGAATGCACTACTATATAGAGACTAATTAGAAAAAGTTATTATATTCTATATTCTATACCAATCGGCAGGGTCAAAAGCAGAACTAAAGAATAAGAAGAAGCCCGGCGCAGTGGCTTATGCCTGTAATCCCAGCATTTTGGGAGGCCGAGGCAGGCAGATCACAAGGTCAGGAGATCGAGACCATCCTGGCTAACACGGTGAACCCTGTCTCTACTAAAAATACAAAAAAATTAGCGGGGCGTGGTGGCGGGCACCTGTAGTCCCAGCTACTCTGGAGGCTGAAGCAGGAGAATGGCATGAACCGGGGAGGCGGAGGTTGCAGTGAGCTGAGATCGCGCCACTGCGCTCTACACTCAAGCCTGCGTGACAGAGCAAGACTCCGTCCCAAAAAAAAAAAAAAAAAAAAAAAGAAAGAAAAGAAACAGGTGTCCATAGGCTATTCAAAATGATGAATAATTCCCAGGATCTAGCCTATGACTAACAAAGCACAAAAAACGCCACTTAGGCCATATGCTGATGAGTACACAGTAAAGTGGCTCCCTGGGTATCCATCTGGAAAGAGAGCTAAAAATAATGAAGACTTGACTCTGCACCAAACATTGTGCTATGTATTTTATGTATTTTACCTTTATTAATACTCACATCACTGTGAAGTGTGCATTGTCATCATCATTTTATAGATTAAAAATTCTGACCTCAGAAAGATATAAAATTGCCTAACATTTCACAAACAGTGAACGATGGATTTTAGATTAGAGATTATGTCTGCCCAACTCCAATGTCCATAATGTTTCTACAATGCTGCATAATCTCTTATATTTTTTATTTTAAGAAATTTGTTAGTGCCCATTGGATTTGAGAGTTAAGGGGTAGGCCCAGAAAAGGCCTTTGGGAGCCCTATTTTTAATCTTCTACAGGACCTCCAAAAGAGAAGAAGAAGATGAAGACAAAGACAAAAAAAAATAAGTAGAGGGAAGAGAGGGGAGGAGGAAGAAAAGGAGAAGGAGAAGAAACCTGAGATTAGTTTGTTGGCCTACAGTGTAAACTGTTTTACAATGCCACAGAGTTAACCAGTAGGAAATGTGAGATTAGAAACTGGCTTCCAGATCTTATCCAGTACTTTCATTCAAACAATTCACTCTAATAGAAAATTGAAGCTCAGAGCTAAATAATAATCTACCCAAAAAGGTTAGATTTGCATCGTGCACAAGTGAACCAAGTCAGCAATCAAATTTTTACTTTATTTAAAAATAAGATTGATATCATACTTCTTGGGTATGAACTTCCAAAGGCCAGAGTTGCTTCAATCAGGGGGACAGATCTCCTAGGGGCATTGATAAGCCTATGATTAATATCTTCTGCATCTTTCTTATTCAAATCTTTAACACTGGGCCCAATGCCCTGCTTCCAACCAGCTATGGGTTTGTTTTTGTCCAGAAATATTTTCTTGATGGAAAAAGAAGCTGCTAAGGAGGCCTGCAAGATAGAAACCACAACAGCAAAAAATAAGAAAACAAAAATCCTTCATAAGAAAAATCAGAACTCCTTTGGAATTTTGTATATGTATTTTTCAGATTAATATATTTAGATTGCTCATTCAGAAGTACCATAATATTCTCAGTGCTTGAGGTCTCCACAGGTCTTAATTAAGCCCCATCTATTGGCAGCTTCTGCCTAGCCCTCCCCATTCTGTTAGGGAGGAGGCAGTGTCACTCTTCTGACTGTATCACAGACTCATGTCACAGATTTATTGGGACTATCTGCCCTTCATTTCCTCAATACTGATGTCCTGACTATAGAGGATTGTACCAAGGATCACTTTCTATCTCAAAGGTAGCCATTCTTTGTAAAAAGGCAACTCTGAGATGGCTTAGTCTAAGAATCATATTCGGAAGAAATATCCTACACCAAGTAGTGGCTAACTGAACAAGTTAGATTGAAAAGGATATAGAGAAACTCTTCATGCTGCAGGAAAATTGGGTGAAGAATCAGATTGGGAGAGAGCAAAGAATACGCCTACAGTAAAAGTGGTTGCCTGTGGTCACTTTCCTTGGAATGAGTAGAACTCATAGTTGATCTCCTGGTCAGAACAAGTTATCTTCTAAGTTCTTTTTTAGAAAAACAGTTTATTGATGTATGATTGACACATGAAAAGGTGTGGATATTTAATGTCTATAACTTGATACATTTTTAG
This sequence comes from Homo sapiens, assembly GCF_000001405.40. Classification (NCBI taxonomy): domain Eukaryota; kingdom Metazoa; phylum Chordata; class Mammalia; order Primates; family Hominidae; genus Homo; species Homo sapiens. Next base: position 88,381,866 of record NC_000003.12, on the reverse strand, counting down.
ATCAGCATATACCCATGAAACCATCATGACAATTAATGCCATAAACATATCCATCACTTCCAAACAGTTCCTCTTGCTCTATTCTGAAACCAATCTTATAGGAATCTCACACCTGGTCTTCCTTTACTGTCATTATCTCTCAGCGTTAAATTGTGTCGCTGCTGAAATTGCTTTTCTCAATCTTGTAAATGTTTATTTTATCTGCCAAGGTAGACACAGTGGGTCTCCATGCTTGGAGTCTGAAGATACACCCTCTTGAGAACCACTCACTTATTCCAGCAGCTGTTTCCCACATAACAGCATCAAGGCTAGGCCATGAATGCCTTCCCACCATAGCCTCATGCTTTGTTATAACCAGTAAGACCTCACCACCACCTACCTCCAACAGTAACAGTAATAGTTAGTACCTTATATTCAATCTAAAGAGCCAGCCCATACTATTCCGTTCCTACAGGAAATTTTATTTCAGGAGCCTCATTGCCCCTCCCTGTCTATGGGCTTTGACCAATACCATTGAGAATCATTCTGCTTGATTTTCCAAATTGCAGTTTCAAGGAGGAATATCCAAGTTACTAATTGTCCTCTGCCCTTTGAGAAGACCTCAGGTCTTTATTTACAAACAGATGTTATTTTTCTCTCAAGGAACACATTTTTTGGCTAGGAACATTTAAGAGTGGTAATCTTCATGAACAAACCTTCTGCCACACCCTAATCTCAGGACGAGGACCAGATCCCAGCCCTAACTTGGCATAAGTGCAAGCCACTGAGGTTTTTCCCTGCTTCAGGGGCTTTTTCTCCACTAAACATAAGCAAGAGCCTGGCGTTTTAAGTAACCTCTTTCATGGAGAACCCATTTAATCTCCAATTTGACTGGCACCCTGTTTACACATGTATAAAGAATATACATCATCCCAAACTCTCTAATATCTAGGCTCCTTGGCAGGAATAAACTAAACACTTAGCTGGAAGATATTAGTTTTGATAGATCAACATGTGAAAGAAATAAAAATAAATCTATGAATGATTTGCCTCCTAAAAACTTTATCATTAGATAATTGGTCTACACCCTTTACTCTCTTTTTCTGACACAATATTTTCACTTATTTTTTTTTCTGTTTCTTATAGTTATTATGTTCCTTTCTTGTCTTAATTCTGACTCATATTTTAGGTCAGTATTCTACTTTACTCTGTTTTACATGGGGCAATTCCAGTCAACGAAAGTATAATTCTATAGCCTTAATGTCTAAATAGTGCTATCTAGAAATAGCTGTTTTTTCTATAACAGTTTTATGAATAGGTTTTAGTGTTATTTAAATAAATATTTTCTAAAATTTCTACCGATCTAGTGATCTTAATAAATGATATTCTAAGATAATCAAATATAATATTTAAGAAATATTAAATATAATCTAAGATAATATTTAAGAAAATTAAACATTAAAACATAGTTTGTGCCCTTGAAATAAGATCCTTTTTGTGAGCCACTAATATTTATTGATATAATCTGATATTCTCTTTGGCTAGTTCTTTTGACTCTTAAATTGCAAACACTTGATTTCTTTCAACATTGGTACTTTAGTCATCCTGGCCTATTATCTGTATTTGTGGTTTGGCCTAAATGGAGTGATTTACCTTTTCTAAGTAAAAATTATTTTTGCTTTTTTTTAAATAGTTTTTTAGCCTTATAATTTATTTCTATTAATTCTTTTCCCAATAAAAATTCATACCTATCACATTTATAACAATGGAGAATTGCATTAACAGTTTTTAAAGCATGTATGCTTTTGTCAACCTTTTCACAAATTGATATTCTATACATTTACAACATTTTTAGTTTTACTTAAATGTTTTACAGATTGAAATGGAATCTTACAAATATAATATAACGTTTAATATAGTGGCCATAATAAATGATACCTAACATTAAATTAGATGACGAGAATCACTTCTGCGGAAGTTGTTTGATATCTGCATGAGATAGCCTTAGCATGTTAAAAAATAAAATCTTCCTGAAAAATAAAAACAATAGCCTGCACTACAAAGCAATGACAACAAGTGCAACTAAATGCTGAAGAACTTTTAATACACAAAAAATCAAATGTTGTCATGATTGGCCTAACAATGCCAGGACCTGCCCTAACAAATTTAGGGGCAATAATTAAGGTAATCTCACATATGACCTTTTCCCCTGTTTTCTTTAAACTGAGTGGGTTTGTACATTATCTTTTGTATTTTTCAGTCAATATTAATTCACAGGACTAAAGGGGGAAAACCTAGAGGGTGGAGTTGAAGAAGACTCAAATAATTCAGACCCTACAAAAATAAAATTTTATCTGTCAGCTTGAAAGAACTTTCAGGACATTATGATATGAAGCAGAATTATCACTACTATTAATTGCACAAGCATATTAAAAGGACTCCAGAAAGTGACCTCCTCTAAAACAGAGAATGCCTGTAGAAAATATGTCTTAATCTTCTCTTCTGCACTTAGATAAATGTCCAGTATATCTACCGCCTCAATTAACCATAGAAATAAGCTGTCACAATCTAATTCTTCTTTTGACAAGGCGTTTATTCTGAAACCAGCAGAGGGAGGAACAGGCAGTTCCATTAGAAAGAAACAAATGTCACAAAGGTCTGTGCCACACGGGGAGCTTTCCATGTGCAAAATGCTGATTAGAGCTATGGTGAATCTAGGCTAACACGTTCAGGGTTTGTTGACTGAGCTCTAGTAAAACCAGAGCTCTGTGGTCAGATTGACTTTGGAGCGAAGATCATTAACAAAAAAAAAGATGATTTTCGTGTCTAGCAATGCCAAGCAAAACATAAATGAATTAATGAAATGAAAGCATTTTACCTTAAGGTATCATATAGTCATTTGCAAAGATGAGGGCAAGTTTTTATGATAAGCATTTATTTTATGTTTGTTATTATCTTGAAAAAAATTATGGAGCAGCTTTTGAAACCACTAATACTAACACAATCAAACAAAGTTAACAGATGGTCATCCATTCATTCAGTTACATAACACATATTTATTGTATTGTTTACTTTTAAACAAAGATAAATGTGCAAGATGCATTAGGATACACAGAAAAATTATAAAATGCCAATTCTTTCCCTTAGAATATTATAAACAGTAACAAAGAAAAGATAGGTGTATGCTACCATAATATAAATTTTAAGAATAAGTTGGTCATTCAGCAATACCAATGTATTCATTGATAGTTTAGAGCTGTATTATTCAGTACAGAAGCCATTAGCCATACGTGTCTATTTAAATTTAAATTTTAATTAATTGAAATTAAATTACACTAAAAGTTTAATTCTTTAGTCTCACTAGCCAGATTTCAAGTGCTCAATAACCACATGTGGCCACCAGTTACAGTATTGAACAGTTCATTTTCTTCATTGTGAAGAGTTTTACTGGAAAGCACTGGTTTAGAATATAGAAATCTATCAAGTCACAGCAATATACAACTGAGTTGAGTCTTCGTGAGTGGAAAAGACAGAATTTTGATGTATTCAGAAGTTCAGTTCATGCTATTCAAAAGGAGGTAGCATAAACAAAATTGAAAAAAAATCCAGAAGGAGTGAAGTATATAGAGGAAAGAGGAACTGCATTTACTCATCTATAATTTATTCATTTATTTACTTTTACTGATGAGACAATAAAGGGTAAAAGTGGGGGAAAGTTACATATGTAAGTTAAAATTGCATCATTAATAAATCTGAATGACAAAACAATTGCATAGCAGCATAACAATTATAACTGTTTTGCAGGCAAGCATGTCTTGAAATATGGTATGCAATATGATTTTAAGTCATAAACTGGTAACATTTTTTAGTTTGATGGCTATATATGTAGTTTTGAGGTATGTGAAAAATGAAAAATCATATCTCATTAGCACATAAAATCTGTTATATCATTGATATTGCTTAAACAAGGCTGAATTTTTTTCAATTACAAAAGAGTGAATTAAATAAAAGTCACATATGGTCACTGTGTAGACCTAAAGAGTCTTTTCAGGTTTTATGACCAATGCAGTTCTGTGTGTTGGTTAAAATCATCAAATACCAGATGTAACACTGCCCAACTGTGTGATCTTGGGAATATTACTTACACACCTTTTTTATTCTTCAGTTTTCTCTTCCACAAATGAAGATATTAAGAGTGACTGTGTTATAAGATTTGTATGAGGGCTAATTATAAAGTACTTAAATGAGTGCTTAGCATGCAGTAAACAATAATTTTTCACTATTATTACTATTAATATTTACAACATGATCAATAGTGTGTTTTAAGAAAGTTAAGCCATCAACAGAATGCAACATGGTTGAAAGGAGACATTACAATCTGAAAAAAAAAAGCAATTGTAATACAGATTCAATCATTTATAGGTCAACAGTACTGTGTCTGAACATAGCAGTACTGATAGAAATGTAGAGAAGCAGACAAATGTTATAGACGTAACAGAGCTAGAATAAACAGGGTTTAACAAATAATTTAATATGAAAATAAAGAAAAGATAGAGATAAAAGAAAATACCAAAGTTCACAAATCTAGGTAAAGGGGCACCAGTATATAGTGAGAAGGAGAAGTTTGGGAAGAATGATGATGGGTTTCATTTCAGAAATATTGACTTTGAGGTTATGCCAAGGACTTCAGGTTAAGGACTTCAGGTTAAGATCTTCAGCAGTGGAAATAAGGGTCTGGATCTCTGCAGAAAGTCAAACTACAGATTTATAAATCACCAACCCATTGCTAATTGTTAAAACCAAGATATCAAGTGAGTTGGCCATTGGAAGGAGGGTGGAGAACGGGATTTTTAAGGAACGCCTTCTTTTTGTAGGTAAAATGAGGAAACTGAGACAATGATTGAGATTTAGAGAATTCAGAGATGTGGATGGCAAATCAGAACACTGTATCATAGAAACCAACTTACAAAAGAGTTGCAAAAAAGAAAAGACCAACAAGAGTATTGAGTGCTGCAGAGTGGTTAAAGAGGATAAGAATTCAGAAAAGTCATTGGGTTTAATAACTAGGAATTGCTGGTAACCTTAGAATAAAAAGTTTGGTAAATGCCAGAATCACTGCTTGAGCTTAACATAAAGGTCAAATGTTGAGGCTCTTTCAATAAGTGTAGCCACCAAAAGAATGAGGGAAACTATGATAGCATGAGAAAATGGCAGGAACAAGGGAAAGATCTTGTTTGTTTTTTATTTGAATATATTTGTAGGCTGAAAAAAAATAGTGAATGTAAACAGTAACTGAAACTAAGATAGAATATAATTCAAAGAGCTATATCTTGAAGCTAATGAAATAAGAATACATGGAGGAAATACGAGAAGAACTCAGCCTTGGAGTGGGAGGGGAATTTTTCTCTTAGAAGAAAAGAATGATGAAGATAGGTGAAGATCTGTAGCAAGTTAAAGACTGAAATTAGCCATTTTAAGGAACTAAGATCAAAAGTCCTCAGTATTCATTCACCTCACTCAAAAAAAAAATATATTTGCTGAGTGCCTACAATGTACCAGATATGCACTATTCTAGAGCTGACTATACGGAAATAAATAAGAAAGGCAGGAAATTGATTTGAATAATTAATATGTTTTAGAGTGGGAGAGGAGTACAATGAAAAAATAGAAGAAAACTGAGGTCAAATCACAGAGCACACCAATATTTAGAAATATAGAAAAGTGGGGAAAAGAGGAAATAATGTGGCAATGAATGATAAAAATAATTTTAAATAATGAAATGGCTTTGGAGAAAATTAAATCATACAATAGGACAGAGTAAGATGAAAAGAATAGATTTTGGTCAGCCAGGGAGGGAAGGGAAGGCTCTCTGGGTTTGGGTAATACAAGCTGAAATCTGAATAGGATTGAGCACAATGTAAGGAGGTCAGCGGAAGGAACTCCCCAGAAAGAGGAAGTAACAACTAATGGGGATGACACAAAATGGGGTTGATTTTAGCCTGGAGAGATAGGAAAGGGACAGAGTGGCCATTGCACAGTCCAGTTGAAAAAGAGAGCATGGTGTCTTGAGTGAATATGTGGGTCAGGAGTTAAGTTTTGAGTTTTTGTGAGAATAATTTTGGAAAAGTTATTGAGAAATAAAGAATATTGAATATAGAGTAACATCATTTGCTTCCTTCTCTTGTTCATGTAAGCTTCTAAAATACTAGTAGGCTCCCTTTCCCCACTGTTTGCTGTAGTTTGGGTTTTTAGGCCCTTTCTGGGCTATAGAGTTATTTCCAGGTTATTTTACATACATTTGAAGGGGTATCAACACTTTTCCTCTGGGATCCAAAGAACCAGGGAGATGCTTAGAGCTGTGACTAGATCACTGACAGACCTATCACAAATCTTAACCCAACATTGATCCCAGAGTCTTCACAAGTGCTCACAACCAGAGGCCTCTCATAACTTCTCCTCTAAAATACTAATATAGCTTTTTAATCTGACTCTCAACCCTAGTACCAAATTCCCTTCCCTTCTACCATAAGGTTCACCCAACAACAGGATAGAAGAGAACAAATCTTCCGGGAGATCAGCGATGGCTTGCCTTATAAGAGGAGAGTAGTAAGGACATGTTATCTGTTCAAAAAAGGATGGTAAAACTGAGATACTTTTTATTGAACAGATTTTCTCAGTTTGAAAGAGAACTAACGGACACTGGGCTTACAGAAAGTCATTCAGAATAGAGCAATAAGTGAACCATTCAAATGTGGCTGCAGTTTGTGTATCACAAATGAGATCCTTCTGAGAATACTAGAATAGAGAATTATGACAGTGAGGTGACTTAGCCTTAAACCTTATTCCTTTACTTTTCTTTCTTGCCGGTAATTTTATGCATGAGGTTGTGGAGGCTACTCTATGATAGTATAGACTATATACTGATAATTTTGATAACCTATGATGAGTTCTGTGATGTCTTTTTCTTCTCGTATCTTTTCCTTCCTACCCTGATACCAGTCGTCATCCATTGGGAATCTGTATAGTTGGAATATATTTGAATAACTTCTATATACTTTAGCTCTACTTTTTATTTGACCCAAAGAAGCAACAGTGGATCCCAAGTATTCCCATGTGTTTTAGAAGCCTAAAGTCAGTGAGATGAATTCTAACCTCAAGAATTTAAAGCAAAGTAACTTGTGAGGAAATAATGTAAAGAAAATATTGGGTAGTTTGGCTGTAGCATAATTAATTAAATTTTCTGGGTTTCAAAAATTTCAATTGCAATAAAAGTACGTTTTGATATGCTGTTTTTACAATTTTCATTAGCAAATAAATGTATGTAGAGAGAAACAATAAAATGGATATATTGGGAAAAAATACTGGTAGACTTTTAAGAAGGTGTCCATATCAGTATTTACTCTTCCATCTACACCTATTGCCTAGATGATCTCATTCAGTTCCTTGGTAAAATTTGTTTGTATGTTGATGACTCCCAAATCCATATCTTCAGCCTGGAACTCTCCACTAAAGACAATACCATTCCATCAAACGTCCAGCTGGCAACTCCACTTGATTATCTCAGAAGCATCTTGAATTCAACACATACAAACTAGAATTCTTCATTACTGCCTCGCACCGAAATATACAGCTCTTCCTCCAAAATATGTCCTTAGTTAAACCACAATGGCCAATTTCACTGCTACAACCTTAATTTAATTCACCATCAACTTAATGTGCACTATTTTAATAGGATCTTAACCAGCCTTCCTGCTTCAACCCTTGCTTGTGTGTAATCTGTTCTCCATCCAACAGCTAAGTGATCCTTTCCTAAAGGAATCTGTATAGAATTGGTATTGTTTATTCCTTAAATATTTGATAGGATTTACCAAAGAAGCCATACATACCTAGAGTTCCTTGATAAAATGGATTTAAATTACAAATTTCAATAATTCACTATTTATTAATACAGGACTATTAGGTTATCTCTTTTATCTCAAATCATTTTTATCTTTCAAAAATTTCATCTTATTAATTTTTGTAATGTATTAGCATAAAGCTGTTCATAAGAGTCTCTAATCTTTCGAATCTGTTTATTCTGATAGCTCATCTTTTATTTTTTATATTGGTAATCTGTGTTTTCTTATTTTTGCTTGCTCTGTCAAGTTATCAAGTTTTTTTATTTTTGAAAATAATTAACTTTTGGCTTTATTGCATTTCTCCATTTTATTCATTTCTAAAAATTTAAAATTTCTATTTCAGTAATTTCTGCTCTTAACTTCATTATTTCCTTTTTTTTTTTTTTACTTTCATTACATTTAATTTGTTATTCTTTCTCCAGCCCATGAAAGCAGAAGCTTTGACTTTCAATCTCTCTTCTTTTGTGGGGGAAGAATTTATTGTTACAAATTTTTCTCTAAACACCACTTTATTATATCCCAAAAAATTTGATATTTTAAATTTTGTGATTTCAATTTCATTCACTTCAAAATTTCTTGAATTTTCTTTTATTTCTTCTTTAATCCATTGATTATTTTTAGAGTTTATTAGTTGACTTTCAAACACATGTGATTTTCCATATGTCTTTACTATTAATTTTTAATCTGGTTCCACTGTGGTCAGATAATATACTTTTGGTAAGTTCAATCCTTTTGAATGTATTAATACAGTGTTTTATTGCTCAGAATATAGTCTAATTTGCTAAATGTCCCATGTTCTTCTGAAGAGAAATATATTCTACTGTTGCTGGCTAGAGTATTTTATAAATAACAATTAGGTCAAATCATCTGAGAGTATTGTTTAATTTTTCTATATCTTTACTGAATTTCTGTAAACTTGTTCTATCAATTACTGAAGAGAAACATAATTTACAGCTGTAATTGTTAATTTGTCTATTATTTCTTGTAGTTCTATCCAAGTTTTTCTTCAAGTATTTTGCAGGTCTCTTAGTAGATGAATTCACATTTATAATTGTTATATCTTTCTGTTGTATCAAAACTTTTATTAGGAAATATCCACCTCTGTCTCTAGTAATAATCCTTGTGTTAAATCTATTTAATGTGATGTTACTGTAGCCACTTCAGCTCTCATATGCTTACCATTTGCACATTATGGTTTTTCTATTTTTTTACTTTCAACATACTTATATTTAAAATGCAATATAAAAAATTAAACAAAATACATCTCTCGTAGGCAAGATATATGTGGGTCTTGCTTTTTTTATCTATTGTGACAATCTCTATTGATTGAAGTTTGTTTACATTTAAGGTAATTAATCAATATGCCTGGACTTATTTCTGCCATTTTGCTATTCATCATTTGCTTGCCTCACTTGTATTTTGTTCCCTTCTTCCTCCCTTCTTTGGGTTAAACAAATTTTTTGTCATATAACTTAACTTTTCTTGTGTATTATTAGCTAAATTTCTTTACGTTTTTTAATGATTGCTCTAGGATATTAACACTAATCTTTAAATTATTTCAATATATTTAAATATTGACATTTTTGGTGATATATAGGAAGCTTGTAACAATATAGTTTCATTTAATGCCCTCGTCCTTTGTGTTATCATTTTCATATATAATGTTAGATTGGTGCAAAGGTAATTGCAGTTTTTGCCATTAAAAGTAATTGCCAAAACTTTTGCATAAAAGTAATGGCAAAAAACACAATTACTTTTGCACCAACCTAATACATCAATGTGTGTTATAAACTTAACCATATAATGTTATAAATTTGGCTTTACATAGCCATAGATCTTTTAAAAAATTGAAAATTAAGAGATAGCTATAAATATCTACTTATATATTGGCAATAATGTATAATATCTGGCCCTTTTTGTTCTTTCCTTTATGACTGATTACTTTTCAGCCTGAAGGTCTTGTTTTCACTGGTGCAACAAACTATCTCAACTTTTGTTTATTGGAAACTCATTTTGAGAGACAGCTTGGCTGGGTATAGAAATCTCAGTTAATCTTTTTGTCATTGTTGTTCTTTAAGCACTTTGAATATGTCATTCTAATGCCTCCTGGCCTCTATTATTTCTGATAAGAAGTCAGCTTATAATTTTATCATAGTCCCCTGTATGTAATTGATTTATTTTTCCTTTGCTGCTTTCAATGTATTCCATTTAATGTTTGATTCTCAACATTTTAACTATAATATGTGTAGATGTGGTTTTCATTATTTTGCAATTTGGGACACACTGAACTTCCTGTAGGTATAAGTTCATATTTGTCTTCAAATATCAGAAGTTTTCTGCCATCATCTCTGGAAATATTTTTCTGTCCCTTTCTTTCTTTTGTTCCTTTTTGACTCCAATTACGCATGTGTTGAACCAGATGATACTTTTTCACCAGCCTCTGAGGAAGCTTTGTTCATTTTTCTTTATTTTTATTTCTGCCCTTTGTGTTGGATATTGAACTATGTTCATGTTAACTAACTTATTCTCTGCCATCTCCAATCTACTTTTGAACCCATCTAAGGTATTTTTATTTTCAGTTATGGTAATCTTCAATTTTAAAATTTCCATTTGGTTATATTTTAGTTTTAGTTTTCATTTCTCTATTAAATTCCCTGTTTACTCTGCAATAACTCATTTCCCTTCTATCTTTGAACGTATTTTTCTTTATTGAAAACTTATAATAGCTGCTTTGATGTCTGTGTTAATTTGACATTCTGACCCACTTGCAATCAGTTTGCATTGCTGGATGGGTTTCTTCCTGCATATGCATCACACTTTCCATTTTATTTCATATTTCTTATTTCTATGGCTAGTAATTTCTTGTTGCAAACTTGTCATGACCATTTGCTCAGGCTGCCATAACCAAATACCATAGAGTGGTTGGTTTAAACAACATAAATTTATTTTCTCATTTCTGAAAGCTAAAAGTCAAAGAGGAAGGTGCTGGCTGATTCAGTATCTAGTGTCTCTTCCTGGCTTTCAGAGGGCTACTTTCTCATTATGTTCTCACCTGGCCTTTTCTCTATGTGCGTGCAAGGAGAAAGAGAGCAAGAATTCTCCAGTGTCTCTTCTCATAAAGAAAATAATCTTATCAAATCAAGGCTCCACTTTTGCAACCTCATTTAAATTTAATTAGTTCCTTGGGACTAATTGGTTCCATCTCCAAATACAGTCACATTGGGGGTTAGAGCTTTAACATATAAATTTGGGGGGACACAAACATTCAATCCATAACAGATGTGAAAGTTGCAGAATCAAAATGGATTTACTTGTGTTTTTTCAAAAAATGAAGAAAGAAAGAAGAGAGAGAGAAAAGAAAGAAAGAAAGAAAGAAAGAGAGAGAGAGAGAAAGAAAGAAAGAGAGAGAGAAAGAAAGGAAGGAAGGGAGAAAAATGGAGCCAGGGAAGGCCATGAAGTGTCCCTTCATGGAAGGGAGGGTTCTCATGTGTGAATGCTGAATAACAAAAACTATCATGAAAAGCTACAAAAAAACACAACTTTGCACAGAAGTCATTGAGATCTTACGCAAAAATTACTTCTGTGAATATATCTGTCTAGCCACTGCTAGTCCAACCTTTGACTGATGTCACTTTTGTTATTGATCCTTGTATTCAAGGATAATTATCTCAAAATAATCATGTAATGTTTCTAATTTTTCCTTTTAAAACCTCAGTCTTTTCTTTATCTCCCTGAATATGCATATAGTTTACTATGGCACCTGTATCCCATTGCAATGCCCATTCCAAATAAATATTATTTTCTTTCATAGTGTCTCCTGTCTGTTATTTAGGCTGGCACAGCTGGTGTGTTATAGTGGCTCTGAAATCTCCTTTCTTCTTCATAGGATTGCTAGGTTTTGGTTCCATAAGCCACTAACTTGCCTGGAATCAAACTGAAATTTGTCTCCCCCATGGTGTGAAGAAGCTGATATACTGCCAAGTGTTCTTGGATTCCAGTTGCTGCTTTTTCAGCCTAGGCCCCTGGTGGCCTCCGCCTTGTCTGTTTTGTTTAGGAGTCTGCCAAATCTGAGTTTACGCTCAGATTTAAAGGCTCACCCTTTTGGTGGTTTCTTGCCTCTAGGTCCCCCTAGTAAACTTCCAGTTGCTCTTCTTATGCCAGAATTCTACCTTGTAACAAATCAATCTAATAAGGCTTCTGTTTTCTGCCACCCAAACTGTGTGTGGCCAGGGAATGTACTCAATCAAAGACAGGACAAACTCCAGTATCTCACCAGAAGCAATTCTGTCTTTCAGGAACAGGCCCACCTCTACTCTCTCCCTGCTTTGTCAACAAACTCCCTGGGTTCATCCAGAAATTTTGCAAAATTTTTGCTCATTTCAGCTCTTTGGTGGTGCTCCTCCTTCTAGAATTTTCCCTTAGGTATTCAGCAATTCTTCTGCCCTGAAACTGAGTCATGTAGGCTGAGGTTTTGCAATAACAAGCCACAATGTTACACTTTCTACCTGACGCTGTAGCAGTCTTTCAGTAATAAACTCTTCTGAAGTTTTTGTCTTCCTTTGGTTATTTTCCAGTGCCTTCAAATTACTGTTTTTAATGATTTTCCAGTTTCTGTAATTGTTTTCTGCAAGAAAAATAGTCTGAATTTGTCACACAACACACACACACACACAAACTTGCAAATCCAAAAATTTATTTTTCCTTCAACTACAGCAGAATACAAAGTCAATATCCTACAAGGCCGTTCATTCTCTAACCTCTGCCTAAACAGCTTGTCTCATTTCTTTTCACTCTCCTTTTTGTTCACTATGCTATAGCCATAGTAGCTGTAGCTGATAATCAATAGGTTGCCTAACCAGTAATTTCCCCAATCCTTGCCCTCCAAAAATAAATTTTATTTCATGTCCTTCTTTTTGCCATGAAGGTTATGTGTCTCAGGATTGTGGGGAGTATAGGGTTCCTCTTCTCAGTCATACCTAGATGTGGGCCTGATTTACCTAAGGGTAGATCTTTCCCCCACCAGTGATTATTTCAGGATTGATCATTTGGAAGATTTGAGGAACATGTGAGGAGAGGTTTACAGAGCTTGTGAGAAAGTTCCTCCCCACTCTTCCAAGAGACTTTCTGGAATCAACTTTCTTGCCCTCTAAACTTGAATGAGGAAGATCTGTTAGCTACTGGCATCCACCCTAAAATCACAAAGTGAACTGCCCTTCAAGGGGTACAGATCAAAGGTCAATGCAAACACATTGGGAAAGAAAATAAAAGAAGAAATAAACTCTGGATTCCGAATCATGGGATCAAACAATCCTGAAAACAACCTGACCTTTGCAGTTCTAGTTATATGAGTGAAAAAGTATCCTAATTACTTAAACCTATAGGAATTTTTTGTTTGTTTGTTTCTTGTGGAGGAAATCATACTGGCATTCTTTCCACCACAGAAATGCCAAACTTGTTTCTGATTTAAGATATTTTCAATTATTACTACTACTTCTTAAGGTCTCTTTCTCCAAATCTTAATTTGTCTGTCTCTATGGCATTGAAACCTCAATTCAAATGCCTCTTCAGACAGTGTTTTTCCAACCAGCCTAACTAAAATAGTCTCTCGATCACTCTCTAGCCAACTTTTCTATTTTGAACTTATCATTATGTGATATTATATAACTTCAATTTTCCCTTTGTTTTGTCCATCTTTTCCAGCAAAAATGTCACCTGCTTGAAGGCAAATGCTCTGTCTTGTTACTACTGTATCCCCAGTGCCTAGAAGAGGACCTGGCAACTAGTAGGCCCTCAATAAATGATTATTAACTGAAAGACATCTCAATTTGGCTGCAAACAGTTTTAACAATGAAACTCATTCCCTATTAGAATAGAATTCCTTCAAACTTACATTATAAAACTAGTTTACTTATAAGAGAAAATGTTAATGACATTGTCTGAAGTCCACATTGTTTAGCTCATACTTTTTGATCCCCATAATTCTTTGGAAATTTATACCTCCAAAATATTGGTATATTCATTTTCACAACAGAACGCTCACTGCTACTTTAAAACTAGGATTAAAGGTCAAATTCCTGATAACAAATCTTTTTTCTTGAAAAATAAACCAAATACTATCCCCTTAACCATTACTCAAAAGATTTGCATTTTTAATAAGTGCGTTCCAAATGAGGTTTAGTTCAACCAGCCTTTGCAAATTAGCAATGGTTCATATGCCCAAAGAACAAATTATTTAGATAACACAGGAGTTCTGTTCAGCAGTATCAGATGGATCATTCCTGAGTGTTGAAAAGGGCCATGTGCGTTTTGTTGGTGTGAACGGCTTGCATTAACCTGTTCAGACTTAGGGATCTGTTTTCCAAAGCACTGTCTTCAACAAAGTTAAAGGCAAGTTTTGAAAACACAGATTTCTGAGTGTTAAGGAAGTGTATATGTACAATGTGGAGACCCCTTATAACTTATTTTTTGTTGTTGTTCTTATCTCCAAAATCTTTTTTTATCTTAATTACAAATATTGTAGGACAATAATGCATGAAAAATAAAACATCATGTGTTAAGCCACTCTCATAATCTCAAGCATTATCTTTACTGCTTTCTTTCCCCAATTTCCTTGTCTCTGACCCTATGACACCTTCTGTACCTCAGCCTTAAATAACCAGTGCCCTCATACATAATTAAGGATTGCTCTGAGAATGACTTTCACAAATGAAGCTTTGGCTTCCCCCAAAACTATTTGACTCTTCTTTTCACTTTTATTTCGTTTTCTATTTGTGTATATCGGGAAGGTCCTTTTGATAACAATGAGGGAGCAGGTTCAAGCACAAGTTAAGTTTCTGAAAATAAAATTTAAACTTACAATATTGATTATGCCCTGATATGGTTTGGCTGTGTCCCCACCCAAATCTCATCTTAAATTGTAGTTCCCATAATTCCCATGTATTGTGGGAGGGACCCTGTGGGAGACAATTGAATCATGGTGGCGGTTTCCCCTATACTCTTCTCATGGTAGTGAATAAGTCTCAAGAGATCGGATGATTTTATAAGTGGCTTCCCCTTTCACTTGGCTCTCATTCTGTCTTGCTGCTGCCATGTAAGAAGTGCCTTTCGCCTTCAGCCATGATTGTGAGGCCTCCCCAGCCATGTGGAACTGTGAGTTCATTAAACCTCTTTTTCTTTATAAATTACCAAGTCTCAGTTACGTCTTTTTCAGCAGTGTGAAAACAGACTAATACATGCCCCTATTTAAGAAAGATTTCCTTGTCCTTTGCATTCACTCCAATTACATATTTTGCCCTTACTTTGCCTTGCCTTCCCCCTCCTTCAATATAACCACTACCTGTTTCTCTTTCTTAATCCTAGAAATTGGTTGTAACTTTAACACTCCAATTAAAGTTATCCTATATGTATCCATTCTCTGCTAAAATATAAACATGGTAGGGGACACAGAATTATAGCTTGAGGATATAAAGTATTCTGTTTTTAACTTCAAGAATCATTTGCAAATCAAACTTAAGTATTTGTTGACATGAAAATTTCAAATCTCTTTTAGAAAAATAAATTTTTCTCTCATAATTTGCTTTATAGGTTGATTTTAAGTCTTCCCAGCTTCATCTGGTTTTCAGTTGACTCACTCCAGAACATGATGACAACAAGATACCCATATACAACTGTGGCTTAGCCATTGTACAAACTGCCTAAACTGGAATGCCAGTGTTGCCTTGTCACTCCTGTGCTCTGAAGCATTTTAATCATGGAACTGGCCACAAATGAAAATCCACGACCTGGCACAAGTCTGTAGGTCTGTGGGACCTCAAAGTGCTGGAGTTTAAAATCCTCTGCCAAGGAGCAAATGCTACAGAGCAGGAAAACCACACTAAACAAAATCAGATGAAAGAGAATATTGCCAAAATGCAGTAACGTTTGGACAGATTTTCACATTATAATCTCGTTGGGTACAGTATACATTGATGATGATCTCCTTTCTTAGTCTGAAATTGGCACCACCTTTTCATTCAATCCTCATCAGAAAATTTAAGTAAATAATAACCCCCTTAAAAGAGTACATCATTAAAATGATAATAATAATATGTTTCCCTGAGTTAAAATGGTATTACAGGGCTGATCTTCCATGAGATTATCACATAAATATTAAATCAACAGCCAAGAAACTTGGGGATTCCACAGGCATTGGCCCTTTGATATAGACTCATTCTCGTACATTCCTCTGTTACAAGAAGAAGCTTCAGGTGACCCTATACCTAGAAGGTATTGGAGTTCCTCTCTATCACTGGTGAAGGAACTAGCCAAAGAAGCCAAAAGGGGCACTGCATAAAGATTAAGTTCTAAACAATGATATAAGGATCTTTTCTTGGGAAGGGATACATGACCAAGACCCAGATTACTTTAGGAGTGATGACAAGTAATGAGCTCCAGAAAAGCGAATCCATCCATTTATTAGATTTTCTGATGGCAGGCTGAGGACCTGGGAATGTTTCCTTACCCATAAAATGAGGTGTCCCTCAACTTCTTAAATTTTCCTTAAGGCCCAAAGAAACTCATTCAATATGACAAAGTACAAAAAATTCCCATAGTCTTACCCTCCACCTCCATTTCAGCCAATATCATGGGTGATCTGAATGTCCATAAATATGAATGATCAAAAATCCTGCCTAAAAGTTATTAATTTACCTCAGTTCTAACTACATTCACTTCAATTCTACTTCATTTAGATTTAAAATTACTCAAAGCTGTTCTTTCCCTGGTATTGTTAACAGTAATGTTCTGCTTTCTGACCATATCCTCTAATCCTTCCAGCTGTCTTGTATATTTTGATCTATTTCTATTTTAAACTCGTTGGCAATATAGTCAGTGATTAAGTGTGTGGGCTCTTAAATCAGGCTGCTTGGATCCACATCCTGGATCAGACACTTCCTAGCTGTGTAAACTTGGGCAAGGCCTCAATTTCCTTATCTAAAGAAATTGGAATTATATTTAATCTAGCAGATACTCATAACTGCATACTAAATTTGTTACGAAAATAAAATGAGATAATCTGGAACAGTTAGCAGAGTGTAGGTGTGGCACATTGTAGGTGCTAAATAAATGTTAGCTATTTTTCACTCATTTATTCCTAAATTTGTTAATTTTCTTATAATTTCTTCCATATCCAGTCTAAAATCTGTGCTTCATTGTATTTTCCACATAGATAAATTTAGCCAACTAACTTCTCTGCTCCACAACAAGTCTGCTGGAAACTGGTGGAAAAATTATATAACTCAGGGAATTAATACAATCATTAATTTCAGGCCTTAAAATAGCAACTGTTCTATGGTATGGTTCAGTAAGCCTTTTACAAGTCATCAATCAACAATATCTCTAAATATCGACAACATGTATTACCAGTTTTTAACCCACTCTTCCAACATCCTATATTATCTCCTTTCTATAAAAATTTTAAAAGATAATAATAATTCTTTATTATTACTTACATTATCTCTCTTTTTCCCTTATATTTTTATACTCCTGTCTCACATTATTTTATGTCTGCCCTAACATTTGTTGAATCCACGGCAATAGTACAAATGGAAGCCCCCATGCAATATTTTTAAATATTTAAAAGTTATATTTTATAATCTCCTGATTTCACCCAAGATGAAGTAACAATAACTAGATTTACCATCCCACCTGAAGCAATACGCCCTCCAAAAAAAAACAGACAAAACATATAAAATGATGTTTTTCAGAACACTGGACACAAGTCAACAAATTACAGGGATCCCCGAGAGATGGGAGACATATGAAGTGAAATTTACACTTGATTTTATTTACTACCCTGAGAGAATTCTTGGACCATGGCATGATGAGGGAGAATTCAGGAGGATCCCAGTGAAATCCCTGAGTTGAAGAGACAGAGCTGAGAGTGCAGGGAAGACAGGCTACTAGACTGCCAAAGACAGACTATCAAAGAAGAGAGTATTGCACAGAAGCAGGACCTGGAAAATCCACAAAGGATCTCCCCAAGTATCATGCAGAGAGATGATCAATGTGAGGTAACTATCCAAAGCCAGGGGAAGAAAACCTCAGGAACAATGCCCTAGCACTAACACAGGGTTAGGAAGCATGCCTTTTCCTACCAGCCAGACTCAGAACATTTATTATATACAGGTGATTTGGTGGAATACTCAGAAAGGTCTTGCATCAGTGGTGAGGAAAAATTAACTTATAGCACTAAACTGAAACCCAGTGAACAAGTCATAAAAGGAAAACCAGAAAGGATATAACTGTTTCCAAGTAACTTAACTGCATCCTGGAATGACATTCAAGAATACTTATAGAAATACAAAACATATCTAGCACTCAGAAAGGTAAAACTAATGATGCATGACATCCCATCAAAGTTTATGAAACATGCAAATCAACGATTACCAAGCATGAAAGCAAAGATACCAAGCAAGAAGAGAAAAATCAGTAAAATGAAACTGATCCCCAAAATAACACAATTAATTATTAGAAGTAGCAGAAAGTAATAAAATGGTTATACTAACTGTATTCAATTAAAATTAAGTAGAGACATGAAAGATACTTTTTAAAGGCCCAAATCTAACTTCCAGAGATGAGAACTTTACGACTGAAGGGAAATACACTGAATAGGATTAATGGTAGATTAGACATTGCAGAAGAAAAGATTAGTACATTTGAGAATATAAGTATAGGAAATATTAAAAATGAAATACACAGAGAAAAAATATGAAAAATTAAAGAGCATCTAAATGTTCTAATTTAACATATAACAAGAAAAGAAGCCTTGAAGAGGGTAGGGAGGAAAGTCTTGTATTGCTTATACTGCCCATCCCCACTCTGCAGGCAGTGTAGCTCAAAGAGAAAATTTTTGTGCTTGAGGGAGGGAGAGTAAAAGTGTTGTGGGACTTTGCTTTGGAACTCATTGCCACCCTGTCAAAATGGAGCATGACTCTGGACAGAATTCCACTGATGCCCACAGAGGGAGCATTTAGACCAGCCTTGGGCCAGAGGGAAAAACGTTAGCTGCAGTGGCCGCAGGAGTGTGGGTATCACTTCTCCCCCAACTCCAGGTAGTGCAGCGCAGAGAGGAGTCTTAGGGAAAAGAGAGGGAAGACTACAAAGGACTTTGTCTTGCAACTTTGATGCCAGCTCAGCCACGTTAAAATAAAGCACTAGGTAGATTCCTGAAGCTCCTTATTCCAGGCCTTTGCTCCTGAACATCATTTCTAGATCCACCTAAACTGAAAGGGAATCTGCCACCTTAGCGTGGTGGAGCCAGCCCCAGTAGGATTTACTACCTGCTGACTAACGTGACCTTTGGCTTTGAATAAACATCAGGAGCAGCCAGGCAGTAGCAGCCATGGGCCTTGGGCAAGCCCCAGTACTGTGCTGGTCTAAGAGGTCATGGGCATTATGTATCAGTGTGGAGTCAGCTGTGGTGGCTACAGGAGTATCTATGCCACCCCTCCCTCAACTCCAGGCTGCTCAGTGCAGGGAAAGTCTCCTTTTCTTTGGGGAAGAGTGAGGGAAGAAAGAGCAAGACTTCACCTGGAAATCCAAGGAATTCTCCCTTATCTTCCCCAAACCCACCAAGGCTTTCTATCTAGAAGTCTGCAAGAATCACAGCATTGCTGGGTTTAGATCACTCCCTAGTGATGAAAAAGCTGCAGTGAGCAAGGGTTTAGGTAATAACCCCCAATCTTTATTAAATTCTCTGAAAGCTCTCTTAAGAAGGACAGGTATAAACAAGCCCAGACTGTGAAGATCGGAATAAATACCTAACTCTTCAATGACCAGATATCAATGAATGTCCAGCACCAAGAACAGCCAGAAAAAACATGACCTCTCCAAACAGACTACATTTGTCACCTGTGATCAAGCCTTCAGTGACAGAGATATATGACTTCTCAGATAAGAAATTTAAAATAGCTGTCAACTGTCTTGAAGAAGCTCGACAGACTTCAAAATAACATAGAAAAGGAATTCAGAGCTCTATCAGAAAAAGTTAAAACAGAGATTGAAATAATTTTTAAAACTTCTTGAGCTGAAAACTTTAATTGACTAACTGAGAAATGCATCAGAGTCTCTGAACAACAGAACTCACCAAGCAGAAGAAAGAATTAGTGAGCTTTGAAGACAGGCTATAAGAAAATACACAGAGGAGAAAAAAAGAAAAATGAAATATACTTACAAGGTTTAGAAGAAGGGCAAAGTAAAAATTATTGGCCTAACAGAGGAGGTAAAGTAAAAGATCAGAGTAGAAAATTTATTTAAAGAAATATTGACAAAGAACTTTCCAAACCTAGAGAAAAATATAAATATCTAGGCATAAAGAATGTCAAAGAACACCAAGCAGATTTGACTCAAATAAGACTACCTCAAGGCATGTAATAATCAAACTCTTAAAGGGTAAAGATAAAGAAAATATTTTAAAAGCAGCAAGACAAAGGAAGAAAATGACACATAAAATGGTTTCAATCCTATGTTTAGCAGCAGGCTTCTCAGTGGAAAACCTACAGGCCAGAAGTAAGTGGAATGACATATTCAAAGTGCTGAAGAGGAAAAAAATCTTCCAACCCAGAATATTATATCTGGCAAAGTTATTTTTCAAAAAGGAAGGAAAAATAAAGACTTTCCCAGACAAACAAAAGCTGAGGAGTTTCACCAAAACCAGCCCTATCTTACAAGAAATGCTAAAAGGTGTTCTTCAGTCTGAAAGAAGAGAGCACTAACAAGTAAAAAGAAATTATCTGAAGGTATAACACACTCACTGGTAAAAGTAAATACACAGACAAATACAGAATACTCTATCACTGTAATTTCCATGTCTAAACAACTCATAAATTTAGTATGAAAACTAAAAGACAAATCTACCAAAAATAATAACTACGACAATTATATTTTAAGAGATAGAAAACATAAAAAGATAAATAAGGACAACAAAATATCAAAAAGTGGAGTGGGGAATGGATTTAAACTGTAGAGAGTCTTAGTTTTCTCTTTGCTTGTTTTTTTGTTGTTGTTTGTTTGTTTATTGTGATAAGATCTAAGTTGTCATCAGTTTAAAATAATTGGTTATAAGTGTTATTTGTAATTCTCATGGTAACCACAAAGCCAAACCTACAATGAAAACGTTAAAAATAAAAAAAACCAAAAAATTAAAACATACTGCCAGAGAAATCCACTTATACACAACAAAAGACATGAAGAAAGGAAGAAGGTAGACAAACAAAACAACCAGAAAGCAAATAGCAAAATGGAAGTAGTAAGTTCTTGCCTATTATTAATAACATTGAATATAAATTGAACTAAATTATTCCATTGAAAGTTTTCTTATTCATTCAGAGTACCTGAATGAATAAGAAAACAAGATCCGACTACATGCTGCCTACAAGTAACTCACTTGACCTGTAAATACATGCATAAACTGAAAATTAAAAGATGGAAAAAGATGTTCTATGCAAATGAAAACCAAAAAAAAGAGCATAAGTAACTATACTTACATGAGATAAAATGGATTTCAAGACAAAAACTCTTGGCCGGGCGCAGTGGCTCACGCCTATAATCCCAGCACTTTGGGAGGCCGAGGCGGGTGGATCACAAGGTCAGGAGATCGAGACCATCCTGGCTAACACGGTGAAACCCCGTCTCTACTAAAAATACAAAAAAATAGCCGGGCGTTGTGGTGGGCGCCTGTAGTCCCAGCTACTCGGGAGGCTGAGGCAGGAGAATGGCGTGAACCTGGAGGCGGAGTTGTGGTGAGCCAAGATCACGCCACTGCACTCCAGCCTGGGCAACAGAGAGAGACTCCATCTCAAAAAAAAAAAAAAGACAAAAACTCTTTAAAAAGACGAAGAAAGTCATTGTGTCATTGCAAAGGGGTCAATCCAAAAGGACATAGCAATTATAAATATATATACACCCAACACTGAAGCACACAGATGTATAAAGCAAATTTTATTGGAGATAGAGAGATTCACCCCTAAACAATAATAGTTGGGGACTTCAACACCCAACTTTCAGCAATGGACAGATCATCTAGACAGAAAATCAACAAAGAAACAGACTTAACCTGCACTATAGACCAGTTGGATCTAATAAGTATTCACAGAATATTTCATCCAACAGCCACAAAATACACATTATTCTTCTCAGCACAAGGAACATTCTCAAGGACATACCTTAAGATAGGCCACAAAAAACATCTTTAAAAAATTATAAAAATTGAAATCATGCCAAGTATCTTTTCTGATCACAATGGAACAAAACTAGAAATTAATAACAAGAAGAACTTTGGAAACCATACAAACACTTGGAAATTAAACAATATGCTTCTGAATGACCATTGGGTCTTTAAATAAATTAAGAAGAAAACTTAACATTTACTGAAACAAATGAAAATGGAAATACAACATACCAAGCTAGTGAGTACAGCCAAAGCAGTACTGACAGGAAAGTTTATAGCAATAAATGCCTACATTAAAAAATAGAAAGACTTCAAAAAAAACAACCAAATGATGTATCTTTAAGAACTAGAAATGCAAAAGCCTACCAAACCCAAAATTAGTAGAAGAAAAAAATAATAAAAGATCAGAGCAGAAATAAATCAAAACCAAAAAAATACAAAAGATAAACCAATGAATTTTGTTTTTTGAAAAGATAAACAAAATCAACAACCTTTAGCCAGACTAAGAAGAAAAAAGAACCAAATAAAGAAAACTAGAGGTGAAAAAAGAGACATTACAACTGATGCCACAGAAATTAAAAGGAGCAATAGAGACTATTATGAGCAACTATATGCCAATAAACTAGGAAACCTGGAAGAAATGAATGAACTTCTAGATATGAAAAATACGAATCTGAAAAGACTAATAACAAGTAATGAGATAGAAAAGAAGGAAGCATAAGTAACTATACTTACAAAAAAAAAGAGCACGCGTAAGTGTACTTACATAAGATAAAAATTGATTTTAAGACAAAAAAGTCTCCCAGAAAAAAAAAAAAAATCCAGGAGCCGATAGCCTCACTGCTGAATTCTACCAACGTTTAAAGTGGAACAAATACTAATCCTATTCAAGCTATTCCAAAAAATCCAGGAGGAGGAAATACTTTCAAACTCATTCTACAAAGCTAGAATTACCCTGACACCAAAATCAGACAGACACAACAACAACAAAAACTGCTGGCCAGTATTTCTGATGAACGCACATGCAAAATTTTCAACAAAATCCTAGCAAGTCAAATTCAACAACACAGTAAAAAGATTCATTATCATCAAGTGGGATTCATCACAGAGATGCAAGGATGGTTCAACATGCACAAATCAATAAACACAATGCATCACATCAATAGAATAAAAGACAAAAACCATCTGACAATTTCAACAAATGTTAGAAAAAGCATTCAATATAATTCAATACCCTTTCATGATTAAAAAAAAAACAGCTCACAACAAACAGAGTATAAAAGGAACACACCTCAAAACAATGGGGGCCGTGTATGACAAATCCATCTATCACACTGAATGTCCAACAACAGAAAGCCTTTAGTTTAAGATCCGGAACAAGGCAAGGATGCCTATTTTCATTACTTTCATTCACTATAGTATTGGAAGTCTTAGCCGAAGTAATTAGATAAGAGAAAGAAATAAAGGGCACCCAAATTGGAAAAGAAAAAGTCAAATTATCTTTGCAGATGATATGATTTTATATTTTGAAAATCCTAAGGACTCCAGCAAAAAACTATTAGAACTTTTAAATGAATTCAGTAAAGTTCAAAGATACAAAGTCAACATACAAAAATCAGTAGCATTTCTATATGCCAATAGTAAACAATCTGGAAAGGAAACCAAGAAAGTAATCCCATTTACAATAGCTATAATTAAAGTAAAATACCTGGAATAAACTTAACCAAAGAAGTGAAAAATCTCTACAATGAAAATTATAAAACACTGATGGACTGGGAGCAGTGGCTCAAGCATTTTGAGAGGCAGAGGTGGGCAGAACACTTGAGCTTAGGAATTTGAATCTAGCCTGGGCAACATGGTGAAACCCCATCTCTACCAAAAATACAAAAAAAAATTAGCTACTTGGGTGGCTGAGGTGGGAGGATCGCTTAATCCTTGGAGGTAGAAGTTGCAGTGAGCCAAGATCATGCCACTGCACTCCAGCCTGGGTGACAGAGCCAGACCCCATCTCAAAAAAAAACCATTGATGAAAGAAATTGAATAGGACACAAAACATAAAAGATATTTTATGTTCATTAATTGGAAGAATCAATATTGTTAAATTGTCCATACTACCCAAAGAAATCTACAGATTCAATGCAATCCTTATCAAAATAACAATGATGTTCTTCACATAAATCAAAAAATAATAATCCTAAAATTTATGTGGAACCTCAAAAGACCCAAAATAGTCAAAGCAATCTTGAGCAAAAGGAACAAAGTTGGAGATCAAACTATCTGACTTCAAATAATACTACAAAGCTATAGTAAGCAAAACAGCATTATACTGGCACAAAAGCAGACACAAAATAGAACCCAGCAACACTAATGGAACAGAACCCATGAATAAAATAATACATTTAAAGTCAACTTATTTTTAGCAAAAGTGCCAAGAACATACACTGCTAAGAAAATTGGATATCCATATGCAAGAGAATGAAACTAAACCCCTATCTCACGTCATATAAAAAAAATGAAATGGATTAAATACTTAAATTTAAAATCAAAAACTGTGAAATCCTAGAAGAAAACATTGGAGAAACATTCCAGCACATTCAGCTGAGCAAAGATTTCTCTTAAAACCTCAAAAACACAGGCAAATAAAGAAAAAATAGATAATGAGATCACAAAAAGCTAAAAAGATTTTGCACAACAAAGGAAACAATTAACAAAATAAAGAGACAACCCACAAAACAGGAGAAAATATTTGCAAACTATTCAACTGACAAAGGATTAATAACCAAAATATAAATAAACTCAAACAACACACTAGAAAAGTAATTATCAGCATCACCATCATCATCTAATTGAAAAATGAATAAAATACCTGAATAGACATTTCTCAAAAGAGGACATAAAAAAGGCCAACAGATATAAGAAAAATGCTCAATACCATTAGTCATCAGAGAAATTCACATCAAAACACAATGAAATATTATGTCAGCCCAGTTAAAATGGCCTTTATCAAAAAGACAAAAATTAACGAATGTTGGCGAGGATGTGGAAAAAAAAGGGGAACACTCCTACACTGTTGATGTGAATGTAAGTTAGTATAGCCACTAGAGAAAACAGTATGGAGGCTCCTCAAAAAAGTAAAAATAGAACTCTCATATGATCCAGAAATCTCACTGCTAGGTATATATCCAAAATAAAGGAAGCCAGTATATTGAGATATGTACCCTTGCATTTTTATTACAGCTTTATTTACAATAGTCAAGATATGGAATCAACCTAATTGTTCATTAACAGAAGAATAGATAAAGAAAATGTGGTACAAATACACCATGGAATATTATTCAGCCATAAAAAGAATGAAATACTGTCATTTGCAGCAACATGGATGGAACTAGAGGTCATTATGCTAAGTGAAATAAGCCAGGTAGAGAAAAACAAATATCACATGTTCTCACTCATATGTGGGAGCTAAAAAAAAAATTGAATCCATGAAAATAGAGAATAAATGATGGTGGTTACCAAAGGCAGGAAACGGTGGTGGACAGGCAGGGGTTAAAAAAGTATTAATTAATGGGTACAAAAATACAGTTAGATAGACGAAATAAGTTCTAGTGTTCAGTAGCATGATAAGGAGACTATGGTAAACAATAACTTATTGTATATTTCAAAGTAACTAAAAGAGTGGATTGGAACATTCCTAACATAAAGAAATGACAAATGTTTAAGGTGTTAGATTTCCCAATAACCTTTATTTGATCATTATACATTGTACACTTGCATCAAAATATCACACGTACCCCATACGTATGTACAACTACAATATATCCATAAAAATTAAAAATTAAAAAAATTAAAGAGCATCGGTTAACTATGGGACAATTTCAAGCAACATAATATACAAATATAAAAAGATTATTTCTGAAACACTCCTCCAACATCAGAAATCACATATTTTTCAAGAGCAAACAGACCATTTGCCCACACAAGACCATTAGTCTAGGGCCTAAAACAAGTCGTCATTAATTCAAAGGCATTCTAGTCATAAAAAGTATGTTCTCTAACAACAGTGGAACTAAATTAAAAATCATTGAGAAAGATCCCTGGAAATTCCTCAAATATTCAAATAATAATAACATACTTCTTAATAATTAATGGGTTAAATGGAAAGAGAAATTAGAAAGTATTTTAACTGAATAAAAACAATTTTGAAACTACATATCAGAAAGCAATATTAATGGGAAAATGTACAGAAGTCTGTACAGGTTCTAGAGGTGTGACCAAAGACATTTAGACCCAGAATTCTCAAGTCTTTCAGTAGGACATGTCCCTTTGGAATGCAGATTTTTTTTGCTTTGGATACATATGTGGCCAAAAGACCAGAGGAGATTATTTTATAGTGCAGACTCTGGGCAGGAGCTCCATTTGCCTGGGTGTAAGAGAAACACCCAGAACATACATAAGTCTCTCCCATTTCAAAACAAAAAAACTTTCTTCATTCTGTGTACCCAATTATCCTCTATTATTTATCCAAACTTTTTGAAATTATAGTCTAAACTCAATCTACTCTACTTCTGCACCACCATCACCCTTTCTCATTTATTTCTTGAAATCTGCCTTTAACTTCCACCAGTCTTAAGTTCTTCCATGCAGATCAACGATAGCTTCCTGATTCTCCAATGACATAACGACTCTTAAGATAGTATCTTACTTTGCATTGCTGGCATGTTTCACAGGGTTGATCATGCCCTGCTCACATTCTCCCCTACCTTGGCATCCATGATAGCCAAGGTTCTTGGTTCCTATCTTTCTTTTCCTCTCTGCCCTTTTTATTCTCCCCAAGAACACTTTGCTTTATGTAGTAGCCCTTTGAATGTTATCAATACCTAGGCTTCCATTCCTAGCCTTGACATCAAGAGATCTCTCTTTGTGAAGTTACACACATCCTTAGTTCTAATTATGATTAGTATAGTATATGCACACATTTCTTACTTGGAAGACTTTAGTATATCTTTAGAGCTATTTCTGTTTCCAATCTCATGGGGTTTCTTTTCTAATCTCTTTTCCATGCTTCAGCTTTCATGATTTTTCTAAAATGTTCATTTGCTATTAAAACATTTAATACTTCTCTACTACCATCAGGGTAATTACTACTTCCAAGCCATGGTGGACAGGTGAATTTTCTTTCAGTTCTTGCCTACTTTTCCAGCTTCACTCATCACCACTCACCTGTGTACTATGCATAACATCTCTCACTTAAAATATTCACCCATCCTTTTGCCTACAATGCCTGTTTTACAGTTTATTAACTACACAGCTTCTCAACCTTTATGCTTCTGTTCAGCATTCCTTAAATTTTGTTGTATGAGTACTACCCATTCTATGCCACATACAGATTTAAAAAATAGTAATAGTAATGGCAACTACCTCTTATTGAGTGCTTATCATGCAGCTCATCTAATTACTACAACCACCCTATGAGATAGATAATAGCACTCTTACCCATATTCTATACTATTGAAAGTGGATTGTATTAGTCTATTTTGTGTTGCCATAAAAGAATACCTAAGGCTGGGTATTTATAAAGAAAAGAAGTTTATTTAGTTCGCAGTTCTGCAAGATATGCAAGAAGGGTAGCATCAGCAACTGCTTCTGATGAGGGCCTCAGGAAACTTCCAGTCATCATGAAAGATGGAGAGCAGGATGTCACATGATGAGAGATGGAGCAAGAGAGAGAGACAGAGGTGTCAGGCCTCTTTAACAATCAGATTTCATGGTAACTGATAGAGCAAGGGCTCACTCATTTCTACAAGGACTGCAACAACCTGTGATGAGGTATCCACCCACATGACCCAAACACCTCCCACACTGGGGATCAAATTTTAACATAAGAGTTGGAGGGGATGAATATCCAAACTATATCACAGGCTTAGAAAGTTTAATGACTTACATACAGCTAAAAATACAAAAGTCAAGATTTCAACTCAAGGCTCTCTGACTCCTAAGCCTGATCTCACCAACTCCTCAAAATTCTTTCCTTAGTCCTTCCATCACATAAAGCATATTTTTATAATAGATATGATTAGAGTGTAATTGAAATACTTCATTATTATCTCTACTTCACTGAATTAAGGGGATCTTGAAAGCAAGGATTTTCCGTCAAGATAAGCTAAGTTAAGATCCAATAAAACCCCTAAAATCTCAGTAGTTTAATACTCTCATCCTACTTTTCCAACATTGGCCAGGAGAATAGCTGTGTTTATTGCGGTTGCTCAGAGACTCAGGCTCCCTCTTGACATATGCTTCCATGGCAGGGACGTGAAAGGCCTGAAGAGTCAGGCACGAGCAATTAAATTTTAACAAGCAAGTAACAAATTCATATCTAATGGTAAGGAGGTGGACAAATCCAATTTATTAATACCATCCACTTATAAACAGAAAATGAGAACATTGTGAATAGCTCTAATGAGTATCACAAATTTTGGTTTTTTATATTCATTTCCTCTGTGACTTGCACAGTTTTAGTGCAAAGTAGCAGTTGACTCAATAAGTACAAGTTTGTTGAATGAATAAATGAGTGAATGCCTTTCCAGAATCCAGAGATATGTGGGGCTGAAAGACTAGGGGAAGTTGGGGGAGTTGAAACTAAATCATCTGAGTAACTTTCCCTAAAAAAAGAAGTATGATACGCAAAGCAGTATCCATCCAGATAACAAAGGGAAGTATTTCTCAAGAGAGTTTGCCCTTATTTTTTTAGAAAACAAGTATTGTAAGATTTCTTAAGAGAAGCTTGAGGGGAATTTATCCTTAGTCTGAGTTTACTAAGCTGGTAGAATTTATTAGAATTGGCCCTTTGCATGTGTCTCTCAATTTCTGAAGGAAGTTTAGGATAAATTTGTTTTACACCTCAATATCATATTGAGTAAAGAGTAATAAACTGTCAAGAAACCTGCCTAATTTGAACTCACCCTGTAAATGCCTATGAAACTTGAGAGGGTTGTTTGCCCTCTTAGTCTCACTATTTCTTCATTTTTAAAATACAATAATTAAGCGGGGTGTGATATCACAAGCCTGTGGTCCGGGCTACTCAAGAAGCTGAGGCAGGAGGATCATTAGAGCCTGGGAGGTTGAGGCCGCAGTGAGCTGTGATCATGCCACTGCACTCCATCCTGGGTGATGGAGCGAGACCCTATCTCAATAATAAATAAATTAATTAATTAATCTATAAAATTATTTTCAGATTCAATATTTCTTTTTTTAGTCTTCTGATTTTCTAATTGTGGAGTATAAAATGCTTGTATTGAGAATTAAACAAAAACCTCAAATATATCTTTCACATGATCTTGCCATTTTCTTTACTATAATTTATATGACAAAATATAAATTTCTTTTTCCCAAAATGACACCTCAAAAAATGAGTTAGTTTAAAATCAATTTTTTCAAAGGGTGCATTCTCAATTCCTTTGTCTTGAATAGCATTTCAGGGATTGAACAAACACATTAGCCCAAAATTGCCTTCACCAATGTGAGTTTTATGTCTGCATGTATTCAGATAGATAGATAGATAGGTAGATAGATGAGAGAGAGAGTTAACATGAACTCACTAACAATAAAACATTTAGTAAAAACTAAAACATTTTTATCATTTTAGTTTACATGACTAAAACAGTAAAAAAATGGAATTACAAAAATTAGCATATATTTAATAGTGATTCCTGGAGTCTGACCACACAATATTCAACTGTTGGCTACTGTGGTAAACAAGATTCCTTTAAAAGCAATATGATAAGTGGTTGTATTGTGGAGATTAACAAAAATAATAAACGTTTTAATGCTATGTAAATGGATACTTATGGCTTGGGACAAAATTTCCAGTAACAGCATCACAAAATTATAAATGATGAACTCTGAAAATCTGGTGACTTAAAAGAATGTTTCCTTTGATGAAAAACCAATGTTTCATGGAATAAGGAATGTTTTAATATTAAAGTTTCAACATAAATTTGATATGAAAATATGTGGTATTAAATACATCTTTGTAGCTAAATAAATTGGCTTTCTCATAGGAAAATGGGGAGTTATCTTACATTTAGTGTTGCTTTGTGTTGGACATAAAAGATTTAATAGATCATAATATTTGGCATGGGAAATGACTACATATTGTTAAGTGAAATTTTTTATTAGACAGTATACGGTGTGATATCATTCTTGTAAAAATGTCTACCTACACAAAGTTACATCTTGGTAAGATGTTCACCAACATATTGACTATGATTATCACTAGATAGTGGGATGGGATCAAGGGTAACTTTTTTGTTTTGGGCTTTTGCCTCTGTCTGAATTTTCTACAATATATATTATAATAATTTTGAATTTAGGAAAAAAAGAAATTAACATCGTCTTTGAAGCCATGTCTACTTCATACCTCATTATTTGATCTACAAAAACAGATGTATTTATCTAACAAGCTGTCATTCATTTGTAGCAGTCCTCTCTGGTATATTATTTTTAATTTCCATCTCTAGTCTATACTTTTTAATATGAATGAAGTTTTCTCTCTCTGAATTTGTTATTAAAGGATAAGAAAAATTATGTATTTATTATATATGTTCAAGTAATAAAATACATTTAGTGAGGCAAGTGAATCCAGTGATGAGTATTTCTTCATTTTCTAATATTAGAGAATTAACTCAATTTTAGTCCTTGCCTCGTTTCTAATTCATCAGTGTTAAAGGTGCTCTTAGTCCTCAGATGAGAATCCAGAATTCTGTGTTGAGGATTAGCAGGAAAAAGTTTCAAATTACATTTTCTATCTTGCTCTTCTGCCTGACAGAAAATCAAGCTCAGCTCTCTTCTTTGGATCCTAAAAATGTGAGTGTGCATGTCTACTGGGGGTGAGAGTTGGGAAAGTGAAGTACAGTGACCAACAGATCATGGGAGCATAGAGACTTCTAGCAGCAGCAACCCTCTGTAGTAAAGAAACATACTGACAAGGGCTGTCTGGATATGTCTTCTGTTTTGAAATCTGTAGCTTTACCTTTTCACTCAGTGCCCTTTATGGTTTCTTTATGTTTATTTTGGTTATTTGTTGTAATTTGTCCCTTAAAGATGAAAGATGAAGGATAGTCTGATACGCTTCTCTTTCAACATCTGGTGTTTACTACAGCTCTGTGAAGCTGTTTTTTTTTTTTTCATCATCTTTGAATTTAGTGTATTTGTTCCCTTAAGACCAACAATTGCACAGACAGTGCAATAAAGTAAGTTTCTCATTTTCCAAATTTTCTCTTTTGCCCCTCTCATCTTTTCTCCCCCTTCCCATCCCAATAAACAAGAACACAGTCCTAGCGATGAATTCCTCAATGAAGGCATGCTAATTAAGCAACCAGATTATACTTGTAGTTGAGCCACTCTACAAAAAAGCTTTCCTTCACAAGGAGATTAAGTCTTCATGAGGGGTTAAAACCAGTTTAGGAAACAATTAAGGTATAAACTAAAACTGAATTGGTAACTCAGAGAAAGGGAAAAATGAAAAAGAAGAAAGCACCATGGAGAATCTGGCCTTTCAAGAAAGGAAATGAGTTTCATGAGAAAGGGACAGTTACCAGAATGTCCTTGGCTGAAGAAAGAGCATGGGGAGAGGGTAAACATACATGTATTGGGATGGAGTGAACAATTCTGCCTAGAAAAGGCTGTGTTTAGATACTGAAAATGAAGACACTTGATGAAAGGAAAATCATATTGTTCATTTTATTGAGCAGTGGTGACAAGAAGGTGCATAGGGATTATGGATGATCCTGAAGACCAGAAACAAAAGTGCAGCCTTGTATAATAAACTTGAACTACCACAGTATTGTAAGAAGTGATGCATCAAACTGAAATTGCCATTTTCTGCTCAACATCACTAATCATCAGGGAAATGCAAATTAAAACCACAATGAGATACCACTTTACTCCTGCGAGAATGGCTATAATTTAAAACACACACACACAAAAAAATAGATGTTGGCATGGATGTGGTGAAAAGGGAACATTTTGACACTTCTGGTCGAAACATAAATTAGTAAACCAGTATGGAAAACAGTATGGAGACTCATTAAAGAGTAAGAGTAAATTTACCATTCAATTCAGCAATCCCACTACTGGGCATCTACCCCCCAAAAAAGAAGTCATTATATGAAAATGATACATGCACACACATGTTTATAGCAGCTCAATTTGCAATTGCAAGAATTATGGAACTAACCTAAATGCCCATCAACCAATGAATGGATAAAGAAAATCCAGTATATATACACCATAGAATATTATTCAGCCATAAAAAAGAATGAAATAATGTATTTTGCAGAAACTTGGATGGAACTGGAAGCCGTTATTCTAAGCGAAGTAAATCAAGAATGGAAAACCAAATGCCATATGTTCTCACTTATAAGTGGGAGCTAAGCTTTGAAGACACAAAGACATACAGAGCAATATAGTGGACTGTGGAGACTCAGGAGGGCAAGTTGGGAGTGGGGAGAAGGACAAAAGACAACATATTGAGTACAGTGCACACTTCTTGGGTGAGGGGTGCACTAAAATCTCAGCACTCACCACTAAAGAACTCATCCGTGTAACCAAAAACCACCTGCACCCCCAAAACTATTGAAATAAAAAGGCAAAAAATAAAATTATTATTTTTATTAGATTGGCAATGAACTGCAAAAAGAATGGAAAGGGGGAGAGAAACATCAAGAAAACTTGGAAAATCGATGCAGTAATCTGGGTTTGAAGAAATAGAGCCTGGATTAGGGTGGTAATGATAATGAAGCAAAAAGAGTATCTCAATAAAACAATTCGGGAATAAAAATAATAATGGTGACATATTGGGAAAGGGCAGAAAGAAAAAAACATAAAAGAATTGGATATATCCACAAGCATAAAAGGACTGTGGTACAACTCACAGCAATAGAAACATTGAGATGGGGCTCATTTCACAGATTTGTAGTTGTCCATATTCTTCTTACTATTTTTTGATTCTCTAAGTAGCTGACAGCTAGTAAAAAGGACTTTGTTGTACTGACTTGAATGTGATGCCCAAAAAAGGGCTTTTCTGGCCACTTATTGATTAAGAGAGTGTTTACACAAAAGAATACAAAAGGGTTTTCAGGAAACCCTAAAATGGTATTTTCCAATACAGAGAGCTGAATGTTCTCACTACTCTTTAGATATATCTGTTAAGTCAAATGTTAGCTTTTCTGTCTTACTTAGATGACATTTAGATTTATCATATGTTTCACTTAACTTAGAATAAAAAACAAATATATATATTTTCTATAGTGTCTTCTGGATTACCTGTACATCCTCTGAGTTTTGACAGCCCTTTTGAAGTCTAAGTAGAATAGGCAATACACTGTGTTCACTGATACCGTTTCGAAACTGTCTGACCCATTATTACATAAAGATGAGTGTCTCACTTGATAAAGCCTTAGAGTAACACAATTTGTTACACCATAATTAAAGATGGACACATCTGTTCTATTTTAATTCAAACCCCTTTGAACATAATTACATAAAGCTGCAAGAACAGAAATTCTCAGTCTTAGATATTTACAATAAAAAAAAAATCATTCTGTCTACAGAAACTACATGGTCAAAGGACAATTTGTAAAACGAAGTCAAATAGATGTCTCTCAGTCTGTATCAAAGCATGAAATAAAGCGAAGGCCCCAGATTAAAGTACTGTCCCCATATAAAACCTGTAATTAGATAAGGAAACCCAGGTGAAAGAAAGTCTTTATAGGAAGTATTTGCATTCCATCTTTGTGGAGAGGTACTATTTCTTTATATTCTCTTAGCCCATAGAGAGATAAAAGAGGAACAAAATACTAAGAATAAAGGGAAAAGCAAATACAGGAGATACTCAACATGTATCTCCTGTATTTCAACTTCCTAATAAACTCTGTATTTCAACTTCCTAATAAATTCTAAATTTTCAGTCATATTAAAAGGATAGAAGATATACAAAACAGTAAATCATCTTGAAAAGGTCTTTATATCCAAAATACAGGTATACCTTGGAGACACTGCCTGTTTTGTTCCTGACCACTGCAACAAAGCAAATATTACAATAAAGTGAGTCAAAATAATGTTTTGGTTTCTCAGTACATACAAAAATTATGTTTACACTGTAGTCTATTAATTGTGCAATAGCATTATGTCTAGAAAAGTGTACATACTTTCATCTAAAACACTTTATTGCTAAAAAATGCTAACAATCATCAGAGCATTCCATGAATGGGAATGTTTTTGCTGATGGAGGCTCTTGCCTCAATGTGAATGGCTGCTGACTGATCAGGGTAATGTTTGCTGAAGGTTGGGATGACTGGCAATTCCTTAAATAAGGCAAACAGTAAAGTTTGTTGCATTGATTTCATGAAAGACTTCTCTGTAGCATGCAGTGTTGTTTGATAGCATTTTACCCACATTAGAACTTCTTCCAAAATTAAAGTGAATCCTCTCAAACCCTGCTACTGCTTTATCAACTAAGTTAATGTAATATTCTAAATCCTTCATTGTCCTTTCAGCCATGTTCCTAGCATCTTCACCAGGAGTAGACAAGAAACCACTTTCTTTCCTCATCCATAAGAAGCAACTCCTCACCCATTCAAGTTTTATAATGAAATTGCAGCAATTCAGTCATATCTTCAGGCTCCATTTCTATTCTAGTTTCTTGCTATTTCCACTACGTCTGCAATTACTTCTTCCACTGAAGTCTTGAATTTCTCAATGCGGGTTGGAATCAACTCTTTCCATTTCCTGTTAATAGTGATATCTGACCTCTTTCCATAAATCATGAATGTTCTCAATGACATCTAGAATGATGAATCCTTTCAAAAAGGTTTTTAATTTAACTTTCCTAGACCCACCAGAGGAATCACTATCTATGGCAGCTATAGCCTCACAAAATGTATTCCTTAAAAAATAAAATTACTCCTTAATCTATGTGCTGCAGAATGGATGTTGTGTAAGCAGGCTTAACAACATTAATCTCCTTGTACAGTTCCATCAGAGCTCCTGAGTGACCAGATGCATTGTTAATAAATGGTAATATTTTCAAACGTTTTGAAAATATTGTGAAAAATATAGAAATTTTTTTTCTGAGCTGTAGTTCTCAACATTGGCATTAAAATATTCAATAAATCACCCTGTAAACAGATTGCTGTCATCCAGTTCTTTGTTGTTCCATTTCTAGTGCACAGGAAGAGTAAATTTAGCATAATTATTAAGGGCTCTACAATTTTTGAAATGGTAAAGGATCCCTGGCTCCACCGAAGGTCACCAGCTGCATTCACCTCTAACAAGAGTCAGCCTGTCTTTTGAAGCTTTGAAGCCAGACATTGACTTCTCCTTTGTAGATATGAAAGCCCTGGATGGATTCTTTTTCCATTATGAAGCTGTTTCATTTACATTGAAAATCTGTTTAGTGTAGCCACATTCATCAGTGATCTTAGCCAGATCTAGAAAACTTGCTGCAGCTTCTCCATTGGCACTTGCTGCTTAGCCTTGCACTTTCATGTTATGGAGACGGCTTCTTTCCTTGAATCTTATAACCAACCTCTTCTAGCTTTAAACTTTTCTTCTGCAGCTTCCTCACCTCTTCCAGCCTTCGTAGAATTGAAGAGAGTTAGAAGCCTTGCTCTGGATTTGGCTTTGGCTTGAGGGAATGTTGTGACTGGTTTGATAGTCTATCCAGACCACCAAATTTTTCTCCATATCAGCAATAAGGCTGTTTCACTTTATTATCTTTATTATTTGTGTAGTCATTGGAGTATCACTTTTAATTCCCTTCAAGAACCTGTTGTTTGCATTCTCCAGTTGGCTGTTTGCTGCAAGAGGCCTAACTTTCAACCTGCCTCAGCTTTCAACATACCTTTCTCTCTAAACTTAATCATTTTTAGTTTTTTATTTAAAGTGAGAGACGTGCAGCTCTTCCTTTCATTTGAACACTTTAGAGGTCATTGTAGGGTTATTAAATGACTTATTTCAACAATATTCTGTCTTGGGGAATAGGGAGATCTAAAGAAAGAGAGACGGGGGAATGTCCAGTTGATGGAGAAGTCAAGAGCACATACAACATTTATCTAGCTCACTGTCTTATGTGAGTGCAGTTTGTGGCATCCCCAAACAATTATAACAGTAACATCAAAGAGGCCTAATCACAGATCACCAGGACATATAATAATAATGGAAAAGTTTGAAATGTTGTGAGAATTACCAAAGTGTCACACAGAGGCATGAAGTGAGCATGTGCTGATGAAAAAATGGCACTGATAGACTTCTCAATGCTGAGTTGCCACAAACCTTCAATTTATAAAAATGTAATATCTGTGAAGCTCAGTAAAGCAAAGCACAATAAACGAGGTATGCCTGTAATTTTTAGATTAATAATAATCAAATGTATAATTAAAGAAAGCAGAGGTAAAGGAAACCCTGTGATTTTAGAATGAATTCTGAGAATTTAATAACATGAATTAAGTGGCAAGCCACGTACACAAATATCCCTGAAATGTAGGTTGTTCATCTGTTTTATTTAAGTTTCCATATCCTGAAGATGGCTTAATGAGGGGATGCAATCAGGATTAGCTAAGCAGTGAGAACTTGGAGAGATCAGGGTGGCAGTTAGATTTATATAAATATTTGCAGAGACTGGGAAGAGCAGATGCTCATATAATCCAGACAATGTGTGCGCACTTGATTTTAAAATAAAAAACAGTTGAAAGCCAAAATATAATTAATCAGAGGAAATGCTTTAATCAGCATCTTCCAAATCCTTAAGCACTGCTGAAAAGATTAAAGAAACATAAAAGAAATTAAAACATGATATTCAAAAGGAAACCAGAATTAGTCTATTTCTGGCATTTTTCTTTTATTTCAGATGTGGGATGGAGTACACAATTAATTTGCATTTTCAATTGCTGTCAACTAGTGAAATTTCCTGGGTGTTTAAGGTACTAAATAAATTACCTAAGACTTACTGTATAATTTACAATGTGGTAGTGATATCTGTCCCTTTATTATTAGTTTATTACAATAAATATGTACACTTGCCCTTATTTCCTGTAGTTCTAAACAGAGATCTTTCCAATGGAATGGGAGACAGCAAATTTAAATGACTGTCAGTTTTATATTAATAGGTTAACTACATAGACTTTTTAAAAGTTGCATATCAAGAAGAAATTGGTACATCAAATCCATATAGTTATCCAATTTCTATCATGTAAACTCAAAATAAGAGCAATTAGCTTTGAACTCAGTCTGGGGCTCAGTTCTTCTAAAGTCAATAGCTCTTGCTATTATTTCTGTTGTTTTCTCCCAATATTTGATGAGCTTCTCAATATGAACCTGTAGTTATTACTAAAGTTCAGAGAATAACAATATAAATGGAAAATTTTAAAACAACATATGGAGGAAATAAAAGACACATGCCTTCATTGCAAGTCTAAAAAAATATAAACATTTAAAGCTCAAAGCTTTCATTTTTTCTAAAAAGAAAATTTTGTTGGTAATGGAAATGACCACATGTCTCGCCAGAGTATTATTAACAGTTTGTAAAAGGAAGGTGAGCCTCTACAGATAGTTAACAGCTTGCTACTCTGTTAATTTCAAGAATATCTTTAAGTAGAATGGGAGCCTGGTTGCAATTTCTGGCAGAAATATTATCAGCATCTACTAAAATTCTACCACAAAGTTTTTAGCACTAAAATGTTTGAAAGTTTTTTCCTGCAAAAACATTGTGGAAATATTCTTATTTAAATGATAGGTGTCAGAATTTCTCATTATGTGCCATCCTATAAATAAATCTTAATAGTAGGTAAAACTATTTGAATAACCTAGATGATTTATTGTGAAATATTGATTGAAAAATAAAAGCAGCTATGTGGCATTTTTTTGTGTTCTACCATAATCAAGTTAGCTTTGAAGAGCACATTGCACTAACTTGCTTATATATTAACTGTTTGATATTTTCTGCTAATAAGAGAAAAAAATCTGGATTTAAATGAATGAAAGACATACAGATTTTTGTGTCAGTCTCCCAATGACTTTTGTTTAGTGATTCATGTGCAATAGCCCTTTGATCCCCATATCACTAACCTTATGTACTTCATTTATAATAAGTTTACTACTATTAAAATAATTTATATTTTATTATCAGAAAATAATTCTGAAAAGTAGCCCTGTTTGATTCCTATACCAATGTCATTTTTTATCAAATGGCATTGTGTTACTCAAATCAGTGACTTTCACATAACAAGATAACTAATGACTCATAACCACGCCTAGTAATAATGCTGAATAAGAATATGGCCATTTCTGTCAACAGACTCACTGGAGTGATAAGGAGCAAAGACTAGTCATAAGAATGCTCCCTTGTTTCTGTCTCCTTTTTCTCAGTTCTTATCACTGTACCGCAAAAAGGGACATAGTGTTTAATTATTATGGTTGTTGAATACCATTATCACCATCTTACCAAGCTCATCACTTGTCAAAAGGAAATGAAAAATTAAGTTCTGTTGGCGACTCTGAGACAGGGACACAATATCTGGAGATCTGAACATCATCTCTGCCATTATGTTGCTTTGTACTCTTCTCCTTGGGCCATTTCTGCAAGATGAAGGGGTTGGTTAAGGGATACGCACTCCAAGGCACTTGTGTTCTGGGCATTGTCAGCAGCAACCCATGGCGTAAATGTAACCATATACGAAAATGGCTTATGAATCTGGAAATATGCTGTCCTGGATTATGTCTCCCACCCTTAGGTGGCTATTTAAGTGTAAGAATTAAGAAATTAATAGTAAATATTTAAAATTCAGTTTCTCAGTAATACAAGCCAAATAGCAAGTGCTCATAGCCCCTTGGTGGCTATTGGCTACCAAGAAAAGAGAAAATTCTACATAAGTAACTATGCTATGTGTATTATTTTCTGGAAGCAGAGGTAATACACACCAAAATTATCAACCTACAAAAGTATTAATTTGTTTCCAAGGAGTAATGGAGGTGGTAGAGTCATGTATATACAGTTTTGCATTTTGGGTTTTTTTTTTTTAACCTTGCTCAGATCCTTTTATTTTTTTTTCTGACAATATAGACATGTGCAAATCCCTTGCTTTCTTTTTGACAAAAAAAGTTCTGAGTATTGCTAAAAGAAAACTTCAGCTGAATTACATTTAAAGGAGTTTAATTGACCAATAAATGATCCATCAACCGGGCAGACCTCAGAATCACAACAGATTCAAGAGAGACACCAGCAACAGCCACATGGTGGAGGAAGATTTATGGACAGCAAAAGGAAAGTGACCTACAGAAAATGGAAGTGAGACACAGAAACAGATGGATTGGTTACAGCTCAGCATTTGCCTTATTTGAACATGGTTCAAACAGCTGGCTACATTTCACTGGCCAAAACTCAGTGATTGGCACAGGTGTGGGCCATGATAGGTTTACACCCCGACTTGCTATAATTCACGATGTACAGAAAAGCTTTTAGGCCAAACTTAATATGTAAGGAGGCAGCTTTAGGCTAACTTTGATGTAACAGAATATATAAGTTCCTGAATTCTGAAGCATTTCTTAATAGTCATACCGAACTCTGAAGGCATATACCTATACAATATTGTAGCAAAGATTTGTTTTGAATATTATTTACTATACCAGACTACTTGCTAACACTAAAAAAAGACATACACACATACAAATAAAAACCATCAAACAAAAACACTTAAAAAAATTTATACTAGTATATATGTCAGCAATCTGGGAATGATCCGTTTCATGACTTAGATTTAATAATACCTATTGACATTTAATTTTCTATAATCCTCTGCTTATCAAGAGACAAAACACTAAGTAAAAACACATCAATATATGAGTGATTATAGACCATCACCATTGTTTTCAAACATACCAAAATGTATACATTCAAATACATTTTGACTTTCTCAACTAGTTACTTTTCAGAAAAATGAATTCCCTTCAGATTCTCCGAAAGTTTATTTTAAATAGCATTAATGTTATCAGATATTAATACTTCAGGAGCATAATTTTGTGTCTGAAAATAGTTCAAGGTCATCTAAAGCCAAATCTGGATCATAATTCTGGATACAATCAAAGTGAAACTAAAAGTAGTAAGAGTTTTTTTTTCCTGTGGGAATAATAATGAGATAGCATTTATTGAGTATCCATGAAATATCAAGAAATGTTTACTGTTTAACATAATTATTCTTGTCTTCATCATTATTTTCCATCTTACAGATGAGGAAACAGCTGCTCACAGAAGTCTCATAACTTACCTAAAGTTACATGTCAGGCACATTTTAGAACAAGAATTCATACACAGAAATATCTAGCTAGTCTAAATCTAGGATGCTAAGGTTAATTCTCAATGAGACATTTTAAAATTCACTTCTTGTTTATAATCATTTTTACCTTTACAATTTCTATTATAAAAATGCATATAATAATAATGATTCATGTCAATATTTATTGTACATTTTATGATTTTGGTTTTTGAAAGAAAATAGCCTCTGAACCCAATTATTCCTCCAGATATATCTGGATTATTTTTTATATAGAATAGCAATAAAACCCTAAAATGAAAATAAAAGTCTTCAAATACTTATAAATTCAATTATTTTGTAACATTTTCATATTATTTCACATAAAAACTTGAATTTTAATGGAAAAGTAAATATGCATTTGCATAAATTTGAAACGTGGAAAAAATATGAACCATAATTTGGATGCATATGTTTTAGTATGTTTACAAAAGACTAACAAAATTTGACATAAAATAATATTTGTTCAGGCCTGGAACACAAACATTGATTCTAATGTATTTGTTTATGAAGTTGGAATACAG
The DNA here is from genome assembly GCF_000001405.40 of Homo sapiens. Classification (NCBI taxonomy): domain Eukaryota; kingdom Metazoa; phylum Chordata; class Mammalia; order Primates; family Hominidae; genus Homo; species Homo sapiens. The sequence continues at coordinate 88,340,897 of NC_000003.12, read as the reverse complement.
CTTTAAAATATGACTTAGAATGGTTATCTCACATGCAGTTCAGTAAGACAAAGGCTCATATAAATATCATGTACCATTGAACACTATCAATTAAGTATGTAAACCCAAGATAAAGCTGTTCAGGTGGCATACCAGACTAAGTGGAATTATTACAGACAGTTTGTATCAATTAAGAAAGTTCAAGCAGTTATTTAAATACTTGAGGCTATTCATTAGCCCTTAAAGCTCAAAGAAATCACCAAAGTGTAATTATATCCAGCCTAGTGATTGGCACTTAAGTTTATAAGAGGTTAAGAAAGCCCCACAGGTCATGATTGAACAAATAGCTCCCGATCACAGCACCAGTGATATCTTAGAAGAACACAATGACAGGGGAGAGATCTTGGTACTAAAGAATACGCAGTTTCTGAAAAGTGAGGAATTTTAAATAACTATTATTTGAGAAACTTACCAGTGAATTAGCATAAAATATACATTACGAATAATTCAGTTCATCTCTAACACCGTGTACATAAACTACAGGCAATTTTTTAAAAATTTTAAGTGCTATAAATCCTAAATTCAATCACAGAAGCAGTGTTAACAAGTACATTCCTTCTTGGAGGTTTCCTTTCTCTAGATGTGTCTTAACCAATTTAATCATGCTCCTAAATACTACCTCATGGCAGGCAATTAAGACCCTGTAAGACTCAGAATATACACCTCCGTACCCATTTCTTTTGAAAAAAGGAAAGAAAATTACTTAGCTATAAGCATACTCTCAACAAGTCATAATCACAATGACTCTAAACATTTTAAACCCAAGCTCTTTCTTGGTACATATAGAAAATATTTTATCCAGGAAGTTTAAAGTCATTCCGTGTCCTCGCAAATAGGCAACTGTACATCCAGTTCTTAAGGACCAATGCATATCTAAAAACATTAGCTTTACAATTTTAGATAGGTAGAAAATTGTGAATGGAGACAGTTATAATAATGACCCAGAAGAGCAACAATGAAAAGAAAACAAAAACTACTTCAATAGGTCTTAAAAAGGTGTCTCTCCACTTAAGGACACAACCATAGGTTCTCACCCCCATAATTGCTGCTCTGGTTAACATTTTTTCACACAAAAATTATATGGTTTGCCAATGTTCAAAGATTTACAAAGAGTACTTATTAAATCTATGCTGAAAATAATTTAGCTTTGAATGATTCAGAATTTTCTTCAGAATTCTTTTCCTGTCCCAAGTGTCATCATTACTTACGTACACCAGTTATCACTGAACAATCTTGTAGGTACAGAATGCATCGGAAATGGACTTTTCCTGTACATACCTTAAAATATATGTGAGTGCTGGGTATAAAGCTTAAAGAAAAGAAATCAACATATCAAAGAGGTATCTGCACTCCCATGTTTATTACAGCACTACTCACAATAGCCAAGCTGTGGAAACAACCTATGTGTTCATCAGTGGACAAATAGATCAAGAAAATGTGGCACATATACACAATGGAATGTTATTCAGCCATAAAAAGGAATGAAGTCATGTCATTTGCAACATGGATAGAACTGGAGGACATTATGTTAAGTGAAATTAGTCAGGCACAGAAAGATATTATCACACAAATATGGGAGCTAAAAAAAAAATGAACTCATGAAGATGGAGTGGAATGATGGTTACCAGAGGCTGGGAAGGGTAATGGGAACTGGGGGATAAAGTGAGGATTGTTAATGGGTATGAAAATACAGTCAATAGAAGAAATAAGATCTAGTGTTCTATAGCACAATAGAATGACTATAGTTAACACTAATTTAATGTGTATTTTTAAATAATTGAAAGAGTGGAATTAGAATGTTCTAAAATAATAATAATGGTTTGAGACAATGGCTACCCCAATTACCCTGGTTTGAACATTACACATTGTATGCCTGCATCTAAACATCACATGTACCGCATACATACAGACAACTATTATGTACCCATAATAATAAATTTTAAAAATTAAATTAAAAAAATAAATAAAGCATAAGTGGGAATAAATCTGCTTTTAGTTTATTTACAGCCACCTCTTAGTAGCAGATATCTGAACAAAAGTTTATTCACTGACATTTTTTAGATGTTGGGTTTACAGGTTAACAAGACTTCAGCATATACTGAAAAAAATAGCCCACCAATTTGCTCATACATACATATGCACACATAAGCTTATACAACACAGAAGGACTTTAGCACACTCTTGTACAGAAGCAGCCATGTAGCCAGGAACTTACCACCACACTCTAGCTGCTGAAATGTCCTTCTCATCCCTATAGCTGTAGTGATTCCTGGGTCTTCATTTAATTTTCACTGGTGAGGAAACAAATGTCTAGAGTCTCCATTAACCCATTGCCTCGATCCTTGATGACATGAGAGCCTTAATAGTCTACCCTCACTGCTGGAAAATGAGGGTGTGGAGTGTGAACAAGAGGCTCTGTTTCCGCTCCCATCCTGAGGCCCACTTCATAATGGGAGATGTGTTCCAGAATCTTGGGTTGGAAATTAGAATAAGTTTCACCATAGAAATAAAAATCTGAAGACCTGAAACTTCCCAGATAATCAGTAATACAATTTAGCTACTTTATACAATTTTATGAACTAACCAGAATAAACTACTTCATATAATAAAAATATTATCAGAAAAATGCATTCTGAGCTTTTTAAAACTAAAAAAATAGTTTTTGAAATAGATCCTATTCACTGTTTAAAGAATGTTCACAAATTAAAATCACAAAAGAACAAATCAGTTACTACTCTCCAAAATCATAAAATTTTACATAATTTTCAATAGACATACTTTTCAAATATTACATTGAAAAATGACCAAGTTGTAAATAGTAAAGGCTAGGAAGCAAAGGACTTTGTGCAATATAGAGGGGAAATGATAATTCAAATTACATATTTTTGTGTACAATTTTTTTATTCTATTTCAACTGGCTGTTTTCTTTTCTTCTGCAGACCTGATAAACTGGGTAATTCTCCCTTTTTATCCTGTATTTTCACTTTTGTCTTGCTGTTTACTGGATTATGCTAATTAGCATGCTAACAAAACAAAATCTTCTCTTGATCCTACCTCTACATTGACTAGTACTCCATTTCATTTCTCCCTATGCAAAGTAAAATTCTTTGAGTTGCCTTTACTTATTATTTCCAATTTTTTTTCTCATTTTCTCCTAAACTCACTGCAACCAAGCTTTAAGCCATTCCACCAAAACTGTTCCTGCCACAATTATTATTTACTTCTGCATTGCTCAATCCAATGGTCAGTGTTCTGCCCTTGGTCCAATAGCAGCATTTGACACATTTGATCATTCTCTCCTTTTAGATACATTTTCCAGGACACCTCCCATTCTTGGGCTTTCTTTTCTGTCTGATCACATCTATGTAATTACTCAGTTCTTCTCTATCTCCTCCCTTAGTGATCTTACCTCGTTCCATGACTTATGTTAGCACTTTAAAGACATTATTCCAAAATCTTCGGGTGTCTATGGTTTCTAATTAGAAGTCAGTGGCTTTGTGAATCATTGTTTCCCTGTAGGTAATGAGTCACTTTTCTCTTGCTGCTTTCAAGATTTTCTCTTTACCTTTGGTTTCCAAAAGTTTGACTATAATGAGATCAGGCATAGTTTGCATTATGTTTACCTTGATCTGCGTTTGCTTAGGTCTTTGAATCTATAATATTGAGTCTTTCACCAAATCAGAGAAATGTTTTTATTTCAACTAATTTTTCTGGCTCATTCTCTTTCTGCTCTTCTGGACTCCAATTACAGTTGTGTTGGACCTTTTAATGTTAGATTCTTAAATTTCTGTTCAAATTTCTGAATCTTTTTTTTCTAGCTTTCCCAGATTGGATAATTTCTTTTGATCTTTCTTAAAGTACACTGACTCTTTCCTATTTATCTCCATGCTACTGTTAAGCCTACCCATTGAATTCTTTAATTCAGATGCTGTGTTTCTTAGTTACAGAAATTTCATTTGGTTCTTTTTTATGTTTTCTGTTTTTCTGTTGAGAATTTCTATATATTCATCCATTATAGGCATCTTTAGTTTTCCTCATTGAGCACTGATATGGTTTAACTCCAAATCTCACCTTGAGTTGTAATAATCCCCACATGTTGTGGGAGGGACCCAAGGGAGGTAACTGAATCATGAGGGTGGGTTTTTCTCATGCTCTTCTTGTAATAGTAAATAAGTCTTACAAGATCGGATGGTTTTATAAAGAGGAGTTCCCCTGCACATGCTTTCTTGCCTACTGCCATGCAAGATGTGACTTTGTTTTATGGAAGCGACTTTAGAACTGGGTAGCAGGCAGAAGTTGGAACAGTTTGGAGGGCTCAGAAGAAGACAGAAAAATGTGGGAAAGTTTGGAACTTCCTGGAGACTAGACGAGCTCAGAAGACAGGAAGATGTGGGAAAGTTTGGAACTTCCTAAAGACTTGTTGAATGGCTTTGACAAAAATGCTGATAGTGATATGGACTTGTTGGGAACTGGAGCAAAGGTGACTCTTGCTGTGCTTTAGCAAAGACTGGTGGCATTTTGCCCCTGCCTTAGAGATATATGGAACTTTGAATTTGAGAGAGATAATTTGGGGTATCTGGCAGGAGAAATTTTTAATCAGCAAACATTCAAGAGGAAGCAGAACATAGAAGTTTGGAAAATTTGCAGCCTGATGATATGACAGAAAAAAAAAAGCATTTTCTGAGAAGAAATTTAAGCTGGCTGCAGAAATTTGCATAAGTAATGAGGAGTGCAGTGTTAATCACCAAGACAATGGGGAAAATGTCTCCAGGGCATATCAGAGACCTTCATAGCAGCCCCTCCCATCACAGGCCTGGAAGCCTAGGAGGGAAAAGTAATTTCCTGAGGTTGGGTCCAAGGCCCCCCCACCGGCTGCCCTGCTGTATGCAGCCTAGGGACTTGGTGCTCTGTGTCCCAACTGCTCCAGTAATGTCTAAAAATGGCCAAGGTACAGCTCAGGCCATGGTTTCAGAGGGTGCAAGCCCCAAATCTTGGCAGTTCCACATGGTGTTGAGCCTGCAGGTGCACAGAAGTCAAGAATTGAGGTTTGGGAATCTCCACCTAGATTTCAGAGGATGTATGGAAATGCCTGGATGTCCAGGCAGAGGTGTGCTGCAGGGACAGAGCCCTCATGGAGAACCTCTGCTAGTGCAGTGCAGAAGGGAAATGTGGTATTGGAACACTCACACAAAGTCCCCACTGGGGCACAGCCCAGTGGAGGTATGAGAAGAAAGCCACCATCCTCCAGACCCCAGAATAGTAGATTCACCAACAGCTTGCACTGTGGGTTTGGAAAAGCAACAGACACTCAATGCCAGCCCAAGAAAGCAGCAAGGAGGGAGGCTGTACCCTGCAAAGCCACAGTGGCAGAGCTGACCAAGCCATGGGAGCCCACCTCTCACATCAGTGTGACCTAGATATGAGACATGGAGTCAAAGGAGATCACTTTGGAGCTTTAAGATTTGACTGTCCTGCTGGATTTCAGACTTACATGGGGCCTGCAGCCCCTTCATTTTCACTAATTTCTCCCATTTGGAACAGCTGTATTTACTCAATGCCTATACCCCCATTGTATCTAGGAAGTAACTAACTTGTTTTTGATTTTTCAGGTTCAAAATCAGAAGAAACTTGCCTTGTCTCAGATGAGACTTTGGACGTGGACTTTTGGGTTAATTCTGGAATGAGTTAAAACTTTGGGGAACTATTGGAAGGCATGATTGGTTTTGAAATGTGAAGACATGAGATTTGGGAGGGGCCAGAAGTGGAATGATATGGTTTGCTTCTGTGTCCCCATCCAAATCTCACCTTGAGTTTTTATAATCCCCATGTGTCATGGGAGGGACCAAGTGGGAGGTAATTGAATCATGGGGGTGAGTTTTTCCCATGTTGTTCTAGTAATAGTGAATAAATCTCACAAGATTGAATGGTTTTATAAAGGGGAGTTCTCCTGCACAAGCTTTCTTGCCTGCCACATGTAAGACATGACTTTGCTCCTCATTTGCCTTTCACCATGATTGTGAGGACTCCTCAGCCAACTGGAACTGTGTGTGAATTAAACCTCTTTGCTTTATAAGTTACCCAGTCTCAGGTATGTCTTTATTAGCAGCGTGAGAACAGACTAATACAAGCACAGTTAAAACGGCAACTTTAAAATCCTTGCCTACTAATTCCAACAATGAGTCATCTAAGGGTTGGCCTCCACTGCTTATTTCCCTTGAGAATGGTCACATTTTCCTGATTTTTTCATACGTTAAGATTATATTCAGAACATTGCAAATGTTATGTTGTAGAGACTCTATATTCTACTTTATTCCTCCAAAGAATGGAATTTTTGTTTTATTAGTTAATTTAATTGGACTCAAACTGCAAAATCTTTCTCTCTAGAGGTAGCTCAAATGTCAGTTCACTTTTGTTGTTCTTAGCCAAAGTCTTTCCCACATATGAATGGTGTGTCAGCCAGAGACTTGATAGCGTTTATTCACAGAGATTAGGCCTCCCTCTTCCGGCTCTCTGCTTCCCATTCACTTTCTACTATCCATGGTTGCCCCAAATTTTGTCTTCTAATTCTTCAGGCCAAAAAACTTTGAGGTTTTCCACTAGAGTTTAGAGACTCTTTGCAGAAACTACTGAAGATGACGTTCAGGATAAAATCTACAAAATGAGAATCTCGCCCAATGCTTTTTACACATTTTAATTTTCCTCCATAATCGGCCTGGCTTATAAACTCCCATAGCCTTTGAGTCATTCTTTTGGTATTTTATCTAGAACTTATGGTTGTTATTTGGAAGATGGTCGGTTATTCAAACATATTAATGGGAAACCAGCCCTCAGTTCGGACCATGACTTTAAATCTCTATGCTGAAAACTTCTTAATTTCCAATTGGATGTTCCAAAGTTAACATGCTCAAGATTAGTCTCCTGATCTTTTCTCCAACCCCAACCTGCCCCACAGCCAACCTTCCTCATCTCAGGGGATCTCAACTACATTCTTTCAGTAACTCCAGACAGAAAACTTTGAAGTTCTCTTGACTTCTCCTTTCTTTCATATCCTTTATCCAGTCCCGTAGGAAAATGTGTTGTCTCCACCTTTAAAATAAAACCAAAATCTGACCACTTTGCTCACTTACACTGTAGCTATTATCATCTCTTGCAAGGGTTGTAGCAATAACCTCCTAACTGATCTCATTGTAACCATTTTGTCCCCTTGGTCTATTACATTCATGGCAGCAGACAGAATGATCCTTTACAAAGGCAAAACAGATCATTCTCCCTTTATTAACACTCAGATGGAGTTATGTTCTACCCAAAATAACAGCCAAATTCCGTCAAATGAGCTGCAAGCCACAAAGATGTGCCCCCATTACCTCTGTGTCCTCTTCTACTACTACTAATCCCCTAGTCTTCTTTCCCTTAAATGTGCCTAGTGTGCTTTTGCCCTAGGGCTTTGACTCCACCTGTTCCCTCTCACCTGGAATGCTCTTTCTCCAAATCCCAGATTAGCTAACCACCTCACCTCTATGAAGAGTCTGCTTAATCTTACCTCCAAAATGAGGCCGATTTTGACCCTCATATGTAATACTGCAACTTTCCCACTCTCTTTCCTGTGTCGCCCTGCCAGAATACAAGATTCATGAGGTCACAGCCTTCTGTCCTCAGTATGTCTCAAGTATCCAGAACAGTGGCTGGCTCATAGCAATTGGTCAATAAATATGTTGAACAAATGAACGGTAAGCCCCATCCTATCTGATCACAGAAAAAAGAATTTTAGTCATTCCGTGCTATTCTTGTTCATTTCAAGTTTAAATGTTTTTCATTCAAAATGTCCCTTTTTCTTTCTCTCAACCTGGTACCTAATTTTTTCAGGGGCTTATATGGAGAGGAAGGAGGCCAGGAGAGGATGTCTGTCTGTGACTTCCCTCTGAAATACATGGTCATTTGTTGAGATGGCTTCTTCCTTTCCTGGCCTCTGTTCTTGCATCTATTCCTATTGCCAGTCTCTGACATGTGTATTATTACTCTGTGATCTGCAATAGCATCAAACAACCAAAACTGAGAAATCAGTTTAGTCTACTGGTTCTTTCCAATTATGCCCCCTCTTTGAAGGCACTGGAAAGTTTTAGCTATGTTTCTATGTTTCTCTGGAGTCCAAAAACCCCTAACTCTTTTTTTTTGTTCTTAAAGACAGGATCTCACTCTGTCACCCAGGCTGGATTGCAGTGGTACAATCCTAGCTCAGTATAACCTCAAACTCCTGGGCTCAAGCTATCCTCCCAGCTCAGCCCTCTGAGTAGCTAGGGCTACAATTGTACATCACCACGTCTAGCAAAATTCTTTTAAATTTTGCTAGAAATGGGGGTCTTGTTATGTCATGCAGGCTGATTTCCAACTCCTGACCTCAAGCAATCCTCTTACCTTGGCCTCCCAAAGCACTAAAATTACAGACCTAAGCCACCATGCCCGGCCAAACCTGAAATCTTTATCAGGACTTTATTATCCTGGACACCGCAAAATGCCATCAGGACTCAAGCCCTTGTCAACATAGGAAATACCTACAAGAGTAGAGTCTGAGGAATTCCCAAAACTGGTTTCCTCTGCTTTTGGATATCCCAACTTCTCTTGGGATTTTTTTGTTAATCAATGCCCCCTTTATCTGCTTTGGGTACAGAATAGAGGAAAACCCCTAAGCAGGTTTAACCATTTTGTTTCCTCTCTTCTTCTATTCCCCTCCACAGTTCAGAGGAGCTCTTGACAGGAGTGGAGAGTTCAGAACTGGACAACAAATATTCTTTGTAAATATTTTTTTCTTGCATAAGAAGTGAAGATTTTGAGTTTAAAAGCCAAGGATTTGACACTTTTTCCTTGGGTTCTACCCCCACCGAGTTTTTTGTATACATCTGTGAACCTTGAAAATCTGAGAGAAGTCTAAGTTAATTTAGAAAGTTTATTTTGCCAAAGTTGAGGACGCACACCTGTGACACAGACTCAGCAGGTCATGACAACATGTGCCCAAGGTGGTCAGGGCACAGTTTAGTTTTATACATTCTAGGGAGACATGAGACATCAATCAGCATATGCAAGATGAACATTGGTTTGGTCTAGAAAGGCGGGACAACTCGAAGCAGAGTTAGGGAAGACTCCAAGTAGGAAGGGGGCTTCCTGGTCCTAAGTAGAAAAGAGACAAATGGTTGCATTCTTTTGAGTTTCTGATTAGCCTCTCCAAAGGAGGCAGCCAGATATGCACTCATCTCAGTGAGCAGAGGAGTGACTTTAAATAGAATGAGAGGCAGGTTTGCCCTAAGCAGTTCCTAGCTTGACTTTTCCCTTTAGCCTAGTGATTTGGGGGCCCAAGATATTTTCCTTTCATACATCCCATGACTAATTTCTAGATGCCTGCACTGGAAAGAAGGGTTTCAAGGCCCAGGAAAAGAAAATGAAAGAAGTTTAAATGTGGGGGAATAAAAGCAGGCAAGAAAAGGGGGAAGTGACAGTGAGATTTCAGTTGACACTTCAAAATATTCATAATTTTTATCTCTAATCTTTATCACTTGAACAACTTCTTATACCTGACTTAGCTTTCTGTTAAAAAAAAAAAGTAACAAGAATAAATGAAGATGAGAAAACTCAATTAATCTTTTCTCACAAGGTAGAGTTCCACAATAATACTAAATTTACCCAGTGCTTTTAAGACACTAAAGAACAAGCCATATGCTGGCTCTTAAGGTCTGATGAATTAAGGGAAAAAAATTCAGATTGGATAAGAGTGTAAATGCCCGCTGAGCCTAAGTATCACTTAGAGATTCAGGCACACATAAGTGAAGAAAGAAAAAGAATTATCCCCTTTGACATAAAGTATTGGGAAACCCAATATTAGCGTTCTATAAAGCCAAAATCTAAATGAAGAAATTCTTAGCCTTAATGAAGGTCATATGTAAACATACAGAGAATGCCACACTAGTTTTACAAGGAAACTTGGGAAATTAACTTCCACACATGATGAACTTTGAGGCTTTTAGAGGAAAGTAACTGCCTATATCCCAAATAATATATAAAATGTAGTTTCTTTTGCAATTAATGAAGTAATTCAAAGTGGTTACCTTTTTATTGCAAAAGAATAATTTTTTTAAAAAAAAATTAGATCCTCAGGATGTTTGTACAGACTTTTCCTTTGGCCAGGCACAATAGCCCTAGCCCGAGTCTCTGCTGCAGCTGAAATAGCACTTACTCAGAGAGGCCTTCCCAGATACACTGACCAAAAAGGTCAATTCCACCTCAGCTCTATTATCCACTGACTCTATAGTCTGTTCATATAATTTTGTAACTGTATGTTTGTTTATGTATTTACTCCTGTATCATTGGCATTCTATATCAAATTATAAACTCTAAAATACAAGCTATGTCTCTACTGAATTCTTCAAAGTATATCTATCACTTAGCATCATGTTTAGTAGATAGCAAGTAACATGGTTTGGATCTGTGTCCCTGCCCAAATCTCATATCAAATTGTACTCCCCAGTGTTGGAGGTGGAGCCTAGTGGGAGGTGATTGGATTGTGAAGGCATTTCTCATGAATAGTGTAGCACCATCAACTTGGTGCTATTCTCATGATAGTGAGTGAGTTCTCACAAGATCTGGCAGTTTAAAAGCGTGTGTCACCTCCACCCTCACTCTTGTTTCTTATCCCTCCAAGTAAGAGATGTTGCTCCCCATTTGCCTTCCACCATGATTGGAAGCCTGAGGCTTCCAATCCCCAGAAGCAGAAGCCACTATATTTCCTTTACAACCTGCAGAACCATGAGCCCAACCATTTTTCTTTATAAATTACTCAGTCTCGGGTATTTATTTATAGCAATGTGAGAATAGACTAATATAGCAAGTAATTGATTAAACGTCTATTAAATGAATGAAAGAAAAAAATAGATTAAAAATGTGAGTTAATTGCTCTGAGAATTTTTTAACTGATTGATAGTTTTCCAAATGACAGGTATTCTAGTACTTATTAAATGTAACAACCTTTTCCATTTTTACCTTTTTTCAAAACTTCATTAGTTCTGAAACTGTTGTGTAATAGTGTGCTGGTTAACAACCTGCTCTCTAAATAAAAAGAAATGTATGTATATATGTAACTAAGTTTATGGTAAAGGTACTGACATGAAGGATATGTGTTATACAATTTACCATATTCTTTACTGAAAATTTCGTGTAGCTAATTAGTTCTCACAGAATATTTTTGTGGATTCTTTCTAAACTCTTGTATCTATAATCAATCTATATTTGAAATTGACAAATGAGTTTATTTCTAAGGTAGGTATCAGTCGACATTTTTACTTATGTTATTGAATACAATAAAAATAACAAAACAGAGATATGTCAGAACTTTACATATCTGTCAGTGGTGTGAGCAACATTTGCTGAATCAGGTAATAGTTTTCAAATACTAAAATAATTTTCTCAAATTTTATGGTCTTCACAATGTAACACCTGTACATGCAGCACATTTTTAAGTTTAATCTGCAGTATTAATATGTTTTCCACCACTTTCTTATGTGAGCTCAAGAGTAGAGAAATTTTTCTACACTCAGATAGTAAATAGTAAGGCCTTACAGGATAGGTAGTCTCTGCTACAATTACTTCTTTCTGCGTTTGTAATCTAAAAGTATCTATGGACAATGTAAACAAATGGGTGTGTCTGTCTTCCAACAAAACTTTATGTACCAAAACAAGCAGTGAGCTGGATTTTGCCCAAGGGCTACTGTTGGTCACCTCTTATACTTAGATAATTAACACAACCACAAATCGGGCCTGATTTTTAGCATGTGCCATTTTCATGGTGCAAATATTCTCACCATTACTAATTTTAAGTTAGCAACGTAACATCATCGCATGCCAAATTAGAAAGAGATGGGAAATAAAACACCATTATCTAGTATTTCCACATCATAAATAACATATATAAATAACCTAAGGAGTATGGGTAATAGGAACAGGTAGTAAAATAATTAGAAATTGATGAGTTTTTGAGTATTTATTAACTTAGTTGTTAACATGTTTTATTTACTTGGAAACGTATATAATTAATTTAATTTATTTAATTGCTGTGCTTAAAAAGTGATGCATAAAATTCCTGAAAACTTAAGAATCTGTTTTCTTGAGCTGATAATAGGTGTGGGTTCCTGCACATCGTTGCCACAGCTGTATCTCTTTCTTGAAACCCTCTCTACTCTCTGCATCTCCTACTTTAATCTGGTTTCTTCTTCCTTCTTTGAATTTCCTTTATTTATTCTCAGGCAGCTTATTTTCCTATTCTCATTTTCAGTTTGAAGAGTTCAGTGTGACTCTCTTCTTCCACCTTAACATAATCTGCCAGCAAGCTACCCTGGCATAAATTCAATTACTGCTACATTGCTGGTTATGTTCAAAAATATATATTTAGCTCTGCATTATCATTCACACTTCTAAATGGCCTGCTGATTTTTTAAAAATATTTTCATTGCATGTTTTGATTCTTTACTGTCATTTCAAATTTAATGAGATTAAAACAAGACATCAAATTTTCCAAGCTCTTCTCCTTCATGCCTTAATTGTTCAAGGTTATGCCACCAGATCAGCTTGAAATTTTGATTTCAACATCCTCTTTGGCTATGCTTAGTCTCATCAATACTTTCTGCTAAATATCTTCTATTTACATCTCTCTACATTCACATTTCTACCATAGAGCTCACACTGAATTATAGCAACAGCCTCCAGTTGATCCCCCTGTCTTCAGCCTTATCATTCAGTGGTTTCTTATAATGGAGTGAGATTCATTTATTCTAAATCCTGAGTTTATCATACTTAAACGCTTGATTAAGACCTAAAATTTCCCAGCATGATGGCTCATGCCTGCAATCTCAACACTTTGGGAGACCGAGGCAGAGGTTCGCTTGAGGCCAAGAGTTTGTGAACATCCTGGGCAACATAGTGAGACCCTACAAAACAAAAACAAGAAAACAGTTAGTCCCAGCTACTCAGGAGGGTGAATGGATGATCACCTGAGCACGGGAGTTGGAGATTGCTGTGAGCTATGATCATGGCACTGCCCTCCAGCCTGGGTGATAGAGCAAGACCCTGTAGCAAAAAAAAAAAAAAAAAAAAAACTTAAAATTGATTTTATTGCTTACCTCATGAAACCTAAATTTCATGCCTCGTTTCAAGGGTTTAAGAAATTTAAATGAGTATGTCTTTACTAATCATTGTCATTATTCAATATCTCCTCAAGTAGATAAATTTTTTAGGTATTGTAACTTGTATTTCATTTTTATATGAGTAGCCAATAAATAACTTCTTGATTAATTTTTTAACTGCTGATGTATTTTTAAACAATTGGACTTGCATTAGGAAACTCAAAAGCTGTGTTTCTATTTAAGCAATAAAAATACAATAATTTTAAAAGCTGCAGATATTCTAAAAATGCTTTACATGGAAAAACATATCATTCATTGATTTATTCAACAGATTGGTTAAATAAGCCAAGTCCTAGGAATTGTACTAAGAGCTAAAAATACTAGGATGAATAAGATGTATTTTCTGGCCCCAGAAAGCTGCAATCTACTCAAATAATATTATAATCAATGTACTTTTAAAATAGTGTTGTTTCAGAAAGTTTGCACATTTGGGGAAAAGGGTATTATTAAAAACTAAAAACCCATGTGTCATTTAAAGGGCTATTTAAAGAAAGAATCCTTTGTTGGAGAATATTTTCTTCGTTAGGCTAATTAAATAAACCATTTAGCAATATATTTTTATAACTAACTTTTTAAATATATATTTAATTCTAGGCAATAATAAATGTTGTGAAGATATTTGAAAACAATTTATCTCATGGGATAAAATAATAATTTAGATTTTCATGCCTCAAACATTTGATTTAATATACATTTTTAGAAAATAAAAAGATTTACATTTATTGTTCAAAGCAATTTTTGGTTATAATATATTTTACACAGCAAATCAATAATACTATTCCCACAACATAGATTTTTACACGTGGCATAAAAGAATCTTTAGTTTTACTGATCCAGTAAAAAGTCTTTAGTTAAAAGAAAATTGAAGTTTTACCATGAACAACTGTCAAAATTTTAGAACTATTTATTATAAAGCTGTTGGACAGATAATACAAACAGGCTTTTAACTCAGTTATAGGACATTATAACACAGGCAATATTTCTACATCATAAAAATAATAGTAAAGAACAATTATTAAAATCCAGAATATTTAAATCCTTATTTATATTTTTAAATAAAATTAAAACACATTTAGGGAAAGTACATACATACTTTTAAGGATATAATATCGATATCATTTATCCACCTGGATTTTGTGAAATTCTTACTCTTCATTGTCATATTAAGCCTTAAAAATTAGCTTTCTTTATTTCAGGGGGATTAAGTAGAAATCTGTCTTCACTGTTTCATTCGCTCTAGTGGTAGACATTAAATCTCCTTCTTGGAATTAAATGTCTTACGAATATGTAAAAACAGAAAAAAATATTTTTGGTGAACATTTTCTTGAATAACTTTGTGTTTCTAATGTAATAATCTGTATGTTATCTTTAAACCACTTGAAAGTATCTTTGGGCTGAAAAAGGAAGATGGACAAAGATCTGTTTCAGTTCTGAAATGCTATGATATCACACTTCAAGTCTTTTTCTTAAATAGCCTTAAGAGCTCTTAACATACTTTTTTCCCTAAAGTCAATGGAGATGTGATATCTTTTATCCATTGAGAATGTTTTTAAATTACCCACTAGTTATCCAATACCAAACTTTATGCTAATTGTCAGTAACCAATTCATTGTCAATTTTAGACACGTATGATGTGAGAAAACATGAAATAAAACTCTTCTTCCAGGCCTCATAATCTGCCTTTAAAGGCAAATCCTGAGGGTGCTCTAAATTTGTTTTGTAAAAAGTAATATTATTGGAATATTCACACAAAGTTACTACTTTAAAGACAAAAAAAATTAGCATGGTCTATAAATTATGTACATTTGTTAAAATAAATATTGCCGCTGTAGAAAGAAGGTAGAATCACTAGTGGAAACAAGGGTGAGAAAGAACACAGGAGAAAGAAAGAGAGAAATCTGCACTGCATTCAAAACCCAATTCTACAACCTAATAGTTGCCTTACCTCAGAAAGTTCCATACCTTTCAAGCATCATTCTTCTCTCATATATTTGTTGTGAGAATGACAAAGAAACATATGAAAAACACTTATTATTACTGGGTTCTTTTACCTTAACACTGAAATAAACAATAATACTGATCCCATTTTTATTGAAGCTTACTACATACACACATTTTCAGGGTTGTTTGTGTTTTTTTTTTTTTTTCAGTTTTTAAATTCTTTATAAAGAAGCTGCATGGACTCATCTGTTTAGCAGCCAGTACCTAGAAAGTTGGTCATGTATCTTGAGTATGGGTTACTTTCTGTGCTAGTGAATCATAAATCTATATTAAAGTGAGTCCAAAGTAAAAACTGTCAGTATAAATGTACTGGTTAAAGATTTACAAAGTTTTGGGGAGAGCCGCCTCCATACGGTTTTGATTCTCCACTTCTTTATGTCTATGCCTCTCCGTGGAGCTTGCCCTCATCTTCCTTCAAAACTCACCAAAGTGAAAATAAATCTCCCTTCTGAAACTGTAAGATCGCATTGAGCAAAACTCAGCTAGTGACTTTGAAACAAACTGGTACCAAGTCATTTAAGGAGGTAGGTCACAGATTTGTGTTGAGCTATCTCTTGTTTCTGCTGCATGACCCAGCCGGATCTAATAGTTCTGCTGCTTCTAAGCCATGCTTAGGGGCCATAGGAATCTTTGTTGACACTGCTCTTGGTCCCTCCTGCCAAGCCATTCTACCCTTTGATCTTGCAAACTCTCCAGCAATGCTAATTGATACAAAGAGCAGATTGTTGCAAATCTCACTACCTTGAAATTTCTTCCTCAGCTCCTTCCCCAAACTTCTAAATAATGGGGAAATTTTTCCAGTGTGGAAGGGAAACACCACTCTACAGTACAATGTGTTCAACATATTTTGTCTATACCCTTGAATCACCTTTTTTTTTTAAACTCTTCCATCATTTCTTCAAATTCTTCTAGACTTCAGCTTTCAGAAAACAAAATCCAGACAGACTTGGAGTCTCCTTTGCATTCTGTCCATACCTGGTCTGGTGTCCACAGTGGAAAAATGCCTCCTAAACAGACCAAAGTAAAAGGAAAATAGAACATAGAAAAACATACACAGATTAACATTGTAAAATTGTATTAATCCACAAAGGTATCATTGCACCTTTTTAAAATTTCACTGAAATCATTGGAAGTATATGAAGCCTCTTAAGAACTCCTTACTGTTCTTATCCCAATGTATTGTTTTTGCTTTTGTAAGTAATTATTTTAGAACCAGCTGTGATACCCTTTATTAAAGTCTGTGATAAAAATGGCCCCTGGCTTAGCTGTTTTTGCTTTACCAAATTCCACATTACAGAAAACTGGGTAGAGAAGCAAATAACATGGTGAGAAAAGCCTGCCTTCTGCCTCAACTAGTCTTACCTCAAATAGAACTGCAAAGGATGCTCAATCCATTCTTTACTTGAAGTTCAAATTGTATATAATTCCTATACTTACAAGCCCATGGGTTTCACCTATTTCCACACCTAAGTATATTACTGTACATTGTGAATGTTCCTTCTGTATCTTCAACCCCTCTTTTTCCCCTGATTCCCTCTGTTTAGTATGTGAACTTGAAGTACAAGTCTTCCCTTCACCCTTAAGCCCTGTATTAGTCCATTTTGACACTGCTATAATGATACTATCTGATACTGTGAAATTTATAAACAAAAGAGGTTTATTTGACTCACAGTTCCACATGACTGGAGAGACCTCAAAAAACTTACAATCATGGTAGAGGTGAAGCAGAAGCAGGCACCTTCTTCACAAGGTGGCAGGAGAGAGAGAGAGTGAAGGCAGAACTGCCAAACACTTTGAAAGCCATCAGCTCTCATGAGAACTCACTTGCTATCATGAGAACAGCATGGGTGAAACCATCCCCATGTTCCAATCACCTCCCACCAGGTTCCCCTTCGACACGTGGGGATTACAATTCAAGATGAGATCTGGGCGTAGATACAGAACCAAACCATATCACACCCCATTCACCTTCAACCTTCACAGCAAAACTTAATGAAAATGTCTATAGTCTGTCTCCAAAATCTCTCCACCCCTCTTTCTTCAAGCCATCACAATAACTAATACTTTAAAGAAGCAGCTCCTACCACGGCAACTTCCTCATTGCTATATCCAGTGTAAGCTCTTCCATTCTTATTTCATTTCTAACTTACTGTTTTCTGGTCTGTGTCCTCTATTCAACTATTGGCTCTACAAGGGCACCTATGTATAGTGACATGTAATGGTACTCCAAAACCCGTTGTCTAATGAGTGCACAATAGAAAGGAACAGAAAGCAGTATTCCTATATAACTCATAATTTCCAGGAAGAAAAATACATTATCTTGTAGAAAAAAATAATAATTTTGACCTCAGCCTTAAAGTAATTTACATATGACTAGTATTTTAGTTTGTCTTATTTTTGGTTTTGTTTTCTTTTGCTGTTTTGCTATTGCTACTGCTCCTTGTTGATATTGCAAAATATTTCTTTCTGGACCTTAGGGAGGACTTTTCAAATATTCTCATCAAACTTCCATACCCAATATTCTCGGGAACTAATTCCCCTGTAAGAAGAACAGAACACCCTATCAAATCATTCAAAATATTTAGCTGTAACTACTGTTTGTCAGGCTCATCACGAAACAATCCTGATATTATAAAATTTCAAGCTATTTTACCTTGGTGATTATATTACTTTTGCTTTTACAGTACAGAATTCTCATGGCATGGTAATGTCTCATGTTCCATTTCATAATACAAGTATTTATTTTTATAATAATTCAATGGATAGTACACATTTAATGGAACCAAACTGGTGCATAGACATAGATACATATATATACGTATACTCAAGAAAGGAATCCAAGCTGGCAAAACTTTGTTTTTCATTATCTATGAATATTATTTTTATATTTGTTTTCTGGTTACCCTTTTCATAAATAAAACTTTCACCATGTCACCATTAATTTGATAACATTTCAAAAGTAATTAAAAATAAATGTAATAACATGTATAATATTTAGGAGGAAGGAAGAAGATACTACAACAAAAGAGAGGGAATTTCAAATTCTAAAGAAGGAAAGATGCATTTTTTTAACTTTCTTCTGATTTGGAAATATAAGAACCACAATGATCAATTTTGTCTCTCAGATAAAAAGATCACCAAAATAATTTTAAAATAATATTATATTGACAGTAAATAAATAAATGTTTACAAATAAATTCATTGTTTCAGTTAAACTCTTTAATTCTAATTCCACCATGATCTTCTATTATCTCCCCAAGTTAGTGTTGGGGTGGATAGGGAGTGAGGTGGGAGAGAATTGTCTCCATCTGTGTAATCACTGTTGACCTCACAAAATGTGGAGGGAGAGAGAGAAAGTGGAGGAAGCAGGTTCATGTAATTCATGAAATTAATATCATTCATAACTTTCCTTAAACAATTCCTTTTTATGATTTTCAACTCCAAAAAATACATAAATTTGATCATCTCATTTCTATCGCTAGTGCCCCACTGTCTATAGGGAGTCACAGCCCGAATTACAGACCCCAGGAGGGTTAGGCTGTACCTCCCTCTCCTATCCATAGCCAGGGCTGCAGCAGTTTTAAAACATCTGCCTGGCTGCTTCAGGCCCTCTCACATTTTCCTGCGTCTCCACAGAGTAGAACTATTCAAGACATCTACCTTTCCTAGGAAGGCTTCTAGCCCTCACAAGCACTCCCTCTTCTCTGCATCCTTGCCAGACCTCTGTTATTCCACAGATCATGTTGCAAGACAAATGTTTATTTCCTGTCACTTAATTTCAGACCGCTGAAGGGAAAAAAAAGAGTGGAAAATGAATCATCTGTGTATCCTTGTGATCAACTGCAGTGTCCTGTATAACCCAATAATACTAAAAGAATGAAGATAGCAAGTTTATGATCTACCTCACTTCACAATTAAGCTGATATGATCTAAACCAAACATTTATTAATAATTGAAATGTCAGTAGTCAAAGATATAAATAACACTCAAATGTGAAGGGTAAATGATAAAAGGAAGCAGGTCATTGATAGAGAGGGCACAACGCTTCTCCTGCCTTTGGTCCCATATCCACTGTGATCTCCCCCTTAGCTTTTTTTCTTCTTTGTTACCCCTCAGAACAGTGTAATACTGTGTTTTCATGTGACCCTGAGCCTTCACTGAGCCACTGGTGAGCACTGTGTTAGAAGCCTCTTCCTAGACTCTATCATCACCTGGCTATGCATTCACCACCACTGAGTAAGGCAACTCTTGGAACCAAAAACCCTGAGAAATAAGTCATAATATAACCTTTCAATTGTATTAAGTCCTCTTCACACTTTATTCAGATGTTGAAGAAATCAAAAAACCTAGAGTCTGAAAAAGTGACACTAGGACTTAGAGACTTTCATCCCTAGACTTAGAGAGTGATATGGTATCCCCAAGCCTCCTGTGTGATCCAACAAGGCAGATTCATATTCTAGTTCTCCATGCAGGAGGACTCAGCAGGGAGGCTTCATCTGACAGCCTGGTACACTTTTGGTTACCTTTGTCCTCTAAATCTTACCTGTAGGTGTAAAAACAAAGGTCTTATACATTTTCTCAGAAGTCTGTATCCACGTGTTCTCTGCCTGAATGTATTTTCTCAGTCTGGCCCTAGATCCTCACCTCTCATTCTGTCTCTTGACTAGCTGGATGGTAGAATAGATTCAGCTTTGTGTGAAGCGCCATGAACAGCCTAACCCTAAACACCCCGCTCACATAAGCTCCTCCAATTATGTGGACCAGGGCAATTTCTAAATAATCTCTGGGCTTACACATCACCACCACATCAGTGACCAATCAAGGCTATGCCACATTTCCCAGACAACACATTCTGTAGTTCTCTATTACCTTGTCTTGCCTGATTATCTGTAACATCCACATTGGCTTGGAAGCTCTGTTCCCTTTGCTTTCTATGTCTCTTTCTGCTGAATGTGATTTTATTATTTTGTGCATTTAAGCAACTCTGACCCTTCTTGATTCTCTGTGGGGTGCAGAAGCACCACCAATGCCTCCCTTCACTACCAAGAGCATAGACCTCGCACCTTGACTACTCTTGTGATTGTGATTCACCAAACTTTGACATTTACTCAGTTAACCCTCAATTGTCTGAGCTTAGGGAAAGTGTGGGAGTATGGTAAATATGCTCCTTTACATCAGTTCTTTCTTTTCCTGTATATACATACTTTCTTTTTTACTGTGATAAAATACATGTGGCCAGATGCTGTGGCTCACTCCTGTAATCCCAGCAGTTTGGGAGGCCAAGGCGGGCAGATCACTTGAGGTCAAGACTTCGAGACCAGCCCGGTTAACATGGCAAAACCCTGTCTCTACTAAAAAGACAAAAAAAAATTAGCCAGATGTCGTGGTGCACACCTAAAATCCCAGCTACTTGGGAAGCTGTGGCAGGAGAATCGCTTGAACCCAGGAAGCGGAGGTTGCAGTGAGCTGAGACAGCACCACTGCACTCCAGCCTGGGCAACAACAACACTCAGCCTAATATATAAATATATATATTTTACATATATATGTGTATATATATATATGTATTAATAACATAAAATTGACCATTTTAACCATTTGTAAGTGTACAGTTCAGTGACATTAAGTACATTCACATTGTGCAACCACCACTGCTACCTGCAGGATTCTTTTTATCTTCCCAACTGAAACTCCATACCTGTGAAACAATAATTCCCCATTACCCTCTTTTCCAAACCCATGGCAAATACCATCTGACTTTCTGTTTCTCTGAAGTTCACAACTCTAGGTACCTCATATAAGTGAAATCATACAGCATTTATATGATTAATTCACTTAGCAGAATGTCATCAAGTCTCATCCGTGTTGTAATATATACCAGAATTTTCTTTCTCCTTAAGGTTGAATAATATTTTATTGTATGCACAACCCACATTTTGTTTATCCATTTATCCATCTATGGGCACTTGGGTTGTTTCCAGGTTTTAGCTATTATGAATAATGCTGCTATAAATTATAACTATACCTATATCTGTTGGAGTCCCTGATTTTTTTTTCTTTTTTAGGGACCATGGCTTCCTCTTTCTTTATTGGGCACTTTGTAGCTGTCATGCAGGTATAAAAGTTACACTGTTAAATAATTATTTAAAAACTGACCAGTACGAAAGTCCTTGTCCAGAGCTCCAAACCAGAAGCAAAAAGGAATGGGGCAGTGGACTGGGGGGTATTCCTCCCACATCACCAAAACCCAGAAAACGAGGATCCTAAGCTCCTCCCCGGGCCAAATCTAGGGCTTGGGGCCTTGGGCTAACCCGCAGGTGCCTCTGACTGCATCACATTCAGAGTAAGGTAACCAGCAAGGGGCTGGAGGGAACGGCCAGCCGAGTCCAGACATGGACAGACGTAACTGGAAGGAGGACAGGAAATGGACAAGTACTGTCCAGCTGTAGGTAAGAAAGTGCAACTAAGGCAGGTTGAGGGGCAGGGGAGAGGCTGGAGGGGCGATATTGCAGCAATGCAGGATGCATAGCCCTAGGGTCCAGTCCTGAGCAGCTGGTCAGGGTAGCAGCTGTTAGTTCCCAGATGGAGATCCTGATGCGAGCCCGGGTAGAGGTCTCACACGCTGTGGGTCCTCTTGGTGAGTTGGGGCTCCTCATCCACCAGCTTGGACTTGAGGTGCAACTTGTAAGCCAGGATGTCTCCAGGCCACTTGGTGATTGTCTGCTTCTCACACACCCAAATTTCCTGTGCAACCTGCTGAATGAGTCTGAAGTCATGGCTGACCAGCATCATACTACCCTGAAACCCATTGATGGCATCTGCCAGGGCGTTGATGGTCTCAATATCCAGGTGATTGGTGGGCTCATCCAGGAAGAGCATGTGGGGGTTCTGCCAGGCCAGCCAGGCCAGACACACTTGGCACTTCTGCCCATCTGACAAGTTCTGGATTGGGCTCACCTGTTGTTTCCCAGTGAGACCATATGGCCCAATGATCTTCCTCATTTATTCCTTTTCCTTGATCTCTGGGTAGCACTTCATGTACTCCAAAGTCAAGAGATCTAAGTCCAGCTGCTCTTGTAAATGCTGATGGTAATGCCCTATCTTGACATGAGAGTGTTTTCAGATCATGCCATCTGGGGGTAGTAGCTCTCTAGTTAACAGCTTCAGAAGAGTTGACTTTCTTGCTCCATGGGGCCCTACCAGAGCCACTCGTGTGTCAAGGTCAATTCCAAATTCTAGATCATTGCAGATGCAAAGCCCATCTTTTGTATACTTGAAGCTCACATTTTGCACCATAATGACAGGTGGAGGGTTCTTGCCACATGGTGGGAAATAAAATGACAGTGTCTTGTCACTCACGACCCTCTCTGTCAGTCCTGATGACATCATTTTCTGTAGCATCTTCTCCTTGCTCTGGGCCTGCCAGGCCAGCTTGGCACTGCCATGACCAAACCTCGCAATGTAGTTCTTCATGTGTGCAATCTGATCTTGCTCCCAGTGAAACCTCTTCATCTGGTTCTCTCCTCCAGCTCTAGCCACATCTTCACATACTGATCATAATTACCCATAAAATACTTCAGTTTCTTGTTGTGCATGTGAATGATGTTGGTACAGACACCATTCAGAAAACCCTGGGAATGCGAGGCAAGGACTAAGATATGCTGAAAAGTTTTTAGTTCTTCTTCCAACCACATGCAAGCATCTAGGTCTGGGTGGTTGGTGGGCTCATCCAGGAGGAGCATGAAGGGCCGAATAAAGAGGGCTCTGGCAAGGGGAACCCTCATCCTACAGCCCCCACTGAAGTCTTTTAGCTTCTTGCACTGCATGGCAGGTATGAAACCCAGTCTGTGCAAGATCTGTGAGGCCCTCATCTCTGCCTTATCGGCATCCAGCTCCTCCAGGTGCTCATAGAGTTCCACGAGCTTCTCACACTCCACATCTTCATGAGCCAGTCACTCTGCCTCCCTCTCCAGCATGGCCGGCTCTCTGTCGACTTCCATCACGCACTGCAAGGGTGTCTTGTCACTAGGGGGCATCTCTCGAGTCAGATGGTAGATGTCGATGTGCTCAGGGATGGGCACTCCATGTTTCCCAACAGCAGAGAGCAGCATGGAATTTTCAGTTCCATTTAAGCCAATGAGGCCATAATGACGGACTGAGTTCAATTCCAGTTTGGTGTCACTGGGCAGCTCTTGACCGTGAAAGGTGAGTGAGAGGTTGATAATGTGAACGTCAGTACTGCAGGGATGGGAGGCCAGGATGCCAGTGACAGCTCGAGCAGTAGCTTTCTTCATTTCAAAGTCCTCTAGCTCCTTGGTCAGCAAATCCACTTCTGCGGTGTCTTTGCCATTGGCCTCATTTCTGCCACCTGTGGTTCTGTGACAGCGTCTCCATTTTCTTCATGTCCTTTTCTGGGCTGCTGTAGAGCTTTGGCAGACTCCTTCTTTTTGGCAGCCTTCTTCTTGGCCAGGTCAGAGGGCATGATAATGACCCACAGGGTTAGGTTACTGTTATTTCAGGGAGATGGGCCTCGCTGCTCGGCCTCTGAGTCCCTGATTTTTTTTATTGTTTTAGGTATATATACCCAAAAGTGAAATTCTTGTATCATATTTTAATTCTATGTTTAATTTTTTGAGGAACTGCCATGCTGTTCACATTTCTTCTTGTATCCCCCTGTACTCCAAAATGTCTCCTTAGGTCGGTGTGAACATTTTAATATAAACAATGAGGGCAACTGTATTCATTATTTATGGCTGTGTGTCAAATTACCCTCAAAATGTGGCAGCTTAAAACAATAAACATTTATTATCTCAGTTTCTCTGGGTCAGGTCTGGTTTCAGCTTAGCCGGGTGCCATTGACTCAAGGTATCTTGCAATCAAGGTATTAGCAGAGACAATAATCAACCCAAGGCTCAACTGGGGAAGAATCTACTTCCAAACTCATTCATACATCTAGTTGGGAAGTCTCAGAAGATACGTTTCCATGTTCCCTCAGATGGCCATTGGCATGCACCAGGTTCTCACTGGATGTTGATTAGAGATATCAGTTCCTTGACACATGGACCTCTCCATAGGCAGCTCACAATATGCCAGATAAGTTGTTTTCTTCAGAGTGAGGACTCCTGGAGAGAAGGAGGGCAGGAGAAAGCTTGAGCAAGGCAGTCTTTTCATAACCTAATCTTGGAATGGCATCGCATTTCTTTTCCTGTATTATAGTCATTAGAAGTGAATCATTAGGTTCAGCAAACACTCGGGGGAGGGTATTATACAAGGATGTAAGTACCAAAAGGCAGAGACCGTTGGGGACCATTTTAGAGGCTGCCTACCACAGAAAGAAATGTGTTTTGCTTTTGTTTTCATTGCTGTAATCTAGAACAATTAGGATCTAGAAAATAACGGTTTAATAATGAATGAATATTAGTAGCAATGTAACATCTGAGCTTTCACATTTTTATATGGCATTAGAAATCAGAGAAAACTTAATATAGTATACCCTAACTTATGATGCTTTTAAAAACTGAAATATATCTTTATCTTTTTTATTGTTACATTAAAAATCAGAATCAAATTTAGCATCTCTCCCAAAAGACATGAAGAAAACAATACCATGTACTGACTCCTTTTGTATATTTCCTGGTATTCTGGTGGAAACTTTGTCATTGTATGACCTATGGGAATAGATAATATGGTTGAAGATAATGCAGTCTATTTTAAGAATTTTACATCAGTTACTAAAAAGCTTTTATGCTCCAAGTTAAGGAAAGCAAAGAATATTACACTAAATATATGCATGCTTTTATTCTTGGATTCTTTTTTTCAAATGTCATATTGATCTTTGCAGGAGACTTTTATATTACATCAGTAATAATAAGGAAAAAATATGTCATTATTATCATAGGCTGCTATATTGGGTACCAAAGGTATATCTAAATATGCCCTTAGCCCCTTAATTTTTTGAAATAATGTTATTTGGTGTTCTTTTCTAAACGAATTACTTTCTATACTCAGAATTTTATAATTGGTGATAATTTATTAGGTTTCCTGAAAGTTGTTAGGTATGTTATACCATGTACTCCCTATAAATATGAAAGATGTATTATTGTATTTATTCAAGAGCCATGGGCCGGTTTAAGGAGAAAGCTGAAGTGCTTAGCAGCAGTGCATTGGACGATCCCAGAGAAAAAGTTGTACAATACACTTTTCAAATCTTTCCAACAAAAAGGATATAATTCTTAGCCAGACAAGATCATAAGCTATGACACGTATGTTGTACTATGGATATAGAATGGTAAGTTCCACCTATTAGCCAACTCAGATCAAGTGAAAGTGATAATTTTAAGGAATGTATTCAAAGTATTATGAAACCACTCCCAGGTTTTAGCATATATATGTAGGTTTCAGTTAGTAGTGACTGCCAGTGGTGTGGAAAAAGAGAGCAATAGCAAAAGGTTTATTCCTCTTGCTGTATGTTGTATGATAATGACCACAATAAAATGGCATCATATATTTATCTTATACTTCATAGTTCCTAACACAGTTAATGATGAAAAATATTTTTGGATTTTTTATCTCAATATTGAGTACTCCTAAATATTTATTGTACTTAATTTATAATGAAGCAAACTCTAAAATCACCTCTAACTCTAAAAGTTTACTATAATATGATAGAAACTTGTACCAATGTTAGTTTCAATAAATAAAAACATTTCTTTCATTTTAACAATAAAATGATATTGTATCTAATAACTTCTCAAATTCTGACTTTGCTACTTATTTTTTAAATAATTCCACAAACACATATTTTTTTAGCTTCTTTGATATTCCTAACTCAATAAGACTTTTAAAAATCTATTGGCACATGCCTGTGGTCCCAGCTACTTGGGAGGCTGAGGTCCTGGGAGCGCTTGAACTCAGGAGGTTGAGGTTGCAGTGAACCATGATTGTGCACTACACTTCAGCCTGGGCAACAGAGCAAGACTCTGTCTCAAAAATAAATAAATAAATAAATAAAGTATTTGATCTCTTAAATCATAAACTATTCTAAAATTTAGAATTCCAAGTATGTGAGTTATAATCCAAAATTATGCTAATTATTACTAAAATTTCTTTAGAACTTCCCAACTTTGCTATAAGAACACATAGATACACCTAGAAGGGTCCAAATTCAATTTGTTCTGTTCATAGGAAGTAAGTTTTACCTCTGCTTTCTCGGAGGGTTGATAGTCAATATTTCAATTGAAATGCTGTAATTGTTATTGTTTTAAATTTGGGGGTATTGATTTAAAAGCTGAATCACTCACTTATAAATGATTAAAGATTAAAGCCTTAAAATAAAAACATAATTCCTTAAGAAATAATATTATGAAAGAAATGGAAAAGAGACATGATCAAGAAAATCCAGGTCCTTTATTATCGCTTAAAACTTAAAACAATAAGCATAGTTCTTGAGCAACAGATAGACTGTCATAGTTCTAAAGTCAAGAACTAAGAATCTCAAGCAAGGGTTTTTCAGACTCAACAAAGTTTATATGATAATAGTGCAATTTCAAATTGTATAATAAAAATGTTCTTGGTTGCTGTTGATTAACCTACCAAAGTACGATTCCCAGTGCGAATTTTTTTTAACTTTCTCACATCTTTTTCTTGCATACATGGTAGTGACACTCTTTTCATATTGCAGTTGTAAATCAGCTTTAAAACCTGGTGAGCTACAGAAGCCCCATCCTTTGGTCATACTATGAATACCCAAGTTCTCTAGAATTGGTTAAGGTAGATCCGTAGTCCCTTGACTGACTCTTAAGTGCTTTCATGACTAACTTTCCACACAAGGCTTTCTTATTACCAATACTTGGAAAGAAAATGAGAAGTGCCAATTAAGGTAACATTTCTATTGATTAAAAGAACCAACTATTAATGTATCATTTATTTACTAGAAAATAATTATATTTTATTTTATATCATTTTACAATAAAAACTTTAAAACACATTGTGATTGTAAACTTGGAAGAGGCATTTGATAGAGGTTCTTAAGCTAAATTACATAAAGTTTCTAGGCTTCAAGGTATCTGTGAACTTTCTGAAACTGTAAGATATTTTATGTTAAAGAACATGTTTCTAATAACATCCAGAGAGAGAGAAGAGAAAGACAGAAGTGAAGGATGAATGACTCCGAGGTTAGTAGCATGAGCAACAAAAAGAATGGAACATGCCATCAGCTAGGAAAGGATGATTTTCAGGTGAGCCATTGTGGAAGGGTGGGTTCAGGTGTTCAGTTTTATATGGACTAACTTTGAGATGTGTATCAGATAAACTAATGCCACATGAACTAACTTCACAGAGAGGCACAAGATGGAAAGAAAAATAAAACTCCAAAAAATTATGTAGTGTTCACATAAGTAATAATGCTATTAAGGATATGCTACAAAAATGGTAGGACACCTTTCCTGAGATTTGTGTAAATATTAATCTAATTTCCCTCTCAGGTACATTTAAAAACCAAGACATCAGTTTTGCCTTTGAAAGAGAAACCACTTTCTTTCTATATGTGTTTTTTATTATACCAATGATACACAGCTATTAAATATGGTTATAAATATTTAACCTATTAATGGTTGTGTTACACATTATAAATAGCTTTATGAGCTCACCAAGCATGGTAAGTGATATACTCTGGTTCCCCAAGGAACCATGGATAAAGTCACTGCCACAGTGGACGACATTATGTGCATTCACCAGTGACAAATGAGTGCTATGTCAGTTACAGATACTATATTGAGTTTATTTTAGTCAGGAAAGTTGGTGACAAAGAGAAGATATTGTGTAAACTGATCTTGTCTAACTGATAGCATACTAAGAAAAAAAATTATTCTTTTGGAATTAATTTTACACCACAGTAACAAAATAGTGTGGCTTTTTTTAAAAACTCCTGAAATTAATGTAAAAGAATGTGTCAATGGCGTTGGTTATTCAGGACCCCTACATACCACATTTTGAACTCTTCTACTCTTATCCATTTCTTTCTTCTTTGTCTGCCCTCATTTTTTTTTTCTCTTCCTTTTCGGGGGGATTTCTCTTGCTTATACTTAGGATCACTGCTAAAGGGTAAAATTAATAAGTCATCTCTGCAAACAGCTGTAGCATAACATGCAAAAGGGAAGACAAGCCAACTTGACAGAGGTCCAGGTCTCTAGGCACAAGCTTTGTGGCCTTGGGTTGGGTAATTAATTTTCATGAGTCTTGATTGTGTTACACACATCCATTAATCTCTCTCTGTATCAGTTTTCCCATTCGTAAAATAGAAATAAAGCACCAGCCTAGCATTGTAGTGAAATTAAGTGAATAAATGTAGAGAGTTGTTTAGTGTAAGCTACTATACTAATATAATTAATATAATACACTATGGTAATAATCACCGTTTTCTAATTGAGATAAATATGTGTAAAAGCACTGCCAGCTAATTATATTATTTAGCCCTCAATTATTGAGCTCCAAGTCTGGAGCTCTGTATATCAGCCTCTGCACTGTGTATTTATGGTACATAATCTGCAATCTTTACAGCAACCCAGAAAAGCAGGTTTTACTTCTCCATTGTACAAGAAACTAAAACCGAAATGCAGGTAAGTGATGTGCTCAAAGTCACACAAATAGAATGTGGCAAAGACAGAAGTTGGCCCCAAGCCAAGTCTGCCTAATTCCCAAACCTATGCTCAATCCCTCACCCACAGAGAGTGGCGAGATGACCAGTACACTTGAAGGAGCAGCCCACCAGCTTAGTCTTGTGCCCCAGCAAAATTACAGGAATGTGTTGAAACTCACTGTTCTCATCTATAAGATTACTCTACACAATCTTCAGGAACCCAGAAAAATAAATTCCCAGAATGAGTGGGGATTCTGGGATCTGTACTTTTCTTTAAATGTGGTTTGTTTTTGCAAAGTCAGTTACCTAATTAAATCCTTTGCCATTCTCAGATTATTCTCATGAAAAAATTGACGTCAACACAGAGAAAAAATGTCCTTAGATCTACAAAAGCACGAGAAAGCTGTCTAGGCTACATAAACTCTGTTTGCTCTTTAATTCTGTCCATTATGTGCTTTAAACATTTCCCCAAGAAAGTGAAATTACATGCTATAACAAAGACTGCAATGTATTTTTATGTATTTGAGTTATCTGTTTATGGTACTTTTAAAGAATACTTTATTTGCTATTTTAATAACAAGGAATTATTTTCTAGTTATCATTCCCTCATTTTTACATTTAATATGGATGAATAAACTTGATTTAATGTGTCACTTCTGCACAAAGATATGAATGTCCTCCGGAATTTAAAGAAATGAAAAAGAATTTGTGTTTCTTACCTTCATTATCAGTACAACTAGTCTTAGAGTCAATATATCTGGATTATATCAAGCCTCTTTCAGTTGTTCTTAGATTACTTGTACTAGATACAAAAATTGTCTCATAGCACCTAAAATCTATATTACAAAATTCTTGCCACTTTTTTTTATTAATGCAAGGCCATTTATTAGATTTTTGTAAAGATACAAGGATAAATTAATTATAACTCCAGCCCTCTGATGTTCTTTGAAAGATAGCAGCAATACCTTTGGAAATTAGATGCTGTATTCACAATTCAGGACAGCTATGGAGACTACATAATACATTATTGTAGGAGCATTCACAATATATAAAATTAAAGTAGAAAATTAAAATAAGAAATTTTTCTTGTTTTTGGTTAAAGATGAAAATTAATGCTGGATACAAACTAAAACACTAAATAGATAAATCAGTATAACTCCCTGATCCCTGCTACATATTTATAATTTACAAAATTTCTGTTAATTTTGTGACAAAGTTTCAATTTCATAAGAACTCTCACATTAACTGAATTACTGTATTTGAAGTAGCAAGAGATTTTGAACTATAAAACATTATGTTGATTGATTGTGATACTCAAAAGTGCTTAACACTTATTTAGCGCTTTACATTCTCAAAGCACTTTACAAACATTAACGAATTAATCATGTCACTGTGATGTCAGGGAGGTGGTAGAATTACCATTCCTGAGATGAAG
This sequence comes from Homo sapiens, assembly GCF_000001405.40. Lineage (NCBI taxonomy): Eukaryota > Metazoa > Chordata > Mammalia > Primates > Hominidae > Homo > Homo sapiens. The sequence goes on along the minus strand of NC_000003.12, from coordinate 88,310,566 downwards.
GAATTAAATAAAGTGGCTTATGACAATGAAAGACTTTAAAAGTCTAAATATTGAAACCTCAGTAAATACCTAAATGACTAGAGCAGTGAGTTGACAGTATATGATATAAAGAAAGCAGTGCAAGTTAATACAATATTGCAATACAATCAAAGCCACCTTTCAACTGTGGCACATAGAGTATATGGCCATTGCTGACTACCCATACATCCCTACTAACCTTTGCTATTCTCAAAGAGCTATTATAGAATTAATTCTGCTAATATTTTAAAATTATAACATCTTCATAAACAAAATGCCCTGTGAATTAAAGCAATTTGTTAATGAATTTTTGATTTTTCATTATTAATCATGTTTTAGAAAAAAATATCAACTACTAGAAACATTTTTTTAAAATCGTTTTAAAAAGAACAATGGTAGCTAAGAAGTCTAAGTTATTTCCAAGGCAGAATTTGTTACTGACAACTTTCTAAAATACTATCAAAAAGTTTATAGATTCTTAAAATAATGCCAATCAGAAATAATTACTATTTAAGTTTTACCAAATATTTTTATTGATCAAAATCCAAACTGGTCTTCTGAAATCACAGATACATATTTTAGAAAAAAATTTAAGTAGATATAGATATAAATATAGACACATGCATAACACATACATATACAGACATATATGTATGTGTGCGTGTGTGTGTGTGTGTGTGTAGACTGGCCTCCAACTAGGCAGCCACAATCAGAACATTTTCAGTAGTAAATTACACTTTGTGTGATTCCCTTCTTGTTCAAAAGTTAAATAGTCCTAGCTTTTGAACTTTGAGTGAGCCCTTAAGTGTCATCTGAATAAACCCGAAGAGAGGCGTTTATGTCATTAGCACCATCACAAAGTATACCCTCTTATCAATTCAGATGCAAAGTTGTTTCAAATATTTTCTTTTTTAGTTTCAATTGGTTTCATATCCTAGCCAAATAACGGAAGAGTTCAGATCTTGAAACCAGAGGAAAATAAAAGAAATATTAAGAGCATTTGATTATTTTATCACAAGATTAGGAAAACCATCTGCATTCAAACCTTATTCTGAATTTAGGGGCTTCATAATGACCACAGAGTTACTGATATTACAGTCTCGTGTGGGTTCATAACACTGAAATAAATAGGAGATTGAAGGAAAAGGAAATGCAAATGGACAATATGCAAACATTTGGAAGATATTCTGCCTTATTAGTATTTAAAGACATGTAAAATAACGTTACCGTAGGATTGACAAAAATTGAGAGAATGCCAAAACTTAGGGATGATAAAGGTGCAAGGAAATAGGCCCTCTCACAGACTTTCTTCAACTGAAATGAATCGAAGCCTTCTGTTTAGTGATATAAACAAAAAAGCAAACAAACAAAAAGAAAGAAGCCCTCTAGGAGACAAATATTTGTCCTAGGATGTTACTAAAGCATCCTTTGTAATGGAAAAGAAAACAAAAACTAATTATACACCAATAAGGAAATAGTTGAACAAATTATGGTATAACCATATTTATCAACACAATTCCATTTTTGAAAAGTGTATTATATTTGTATATATGTGGATACTTTTGAATAAAATTTTTAAAAATTTCAAATATAGGCACAGAATATTACTTATAGTTACCTCTGGGCGTTGAGATTTTAAGAATAGGAGTGGGCAGAGAAGCTTTTCACTTTTATTACTTTAATTATTTTTAAGTCTTAAGTTGTAGGTGGTTTTGGTTTGTTTGTTTTATTAAATCAATAAAACAGGGAAACATTTTAAGACTAATATAATTTACATTATCTTCATAAGTTTGTGACTTGATTAAAATTTTGGAAATTGATATTACCTTTTAAAAGTGGTAGAGAAAAAAATCTAATAATCAAGAAGGTGTAATTTGGGATTCTATTGGCCAATTGATAGCAACACCTAAAATTAAACTTTTTAATAAGGTAATAGAGAAACAAACCCCTAGTCTATTCATCATATTACCCTATTTCCCACATTAGCTGCATTTTGAAGATCCAACCTGGTTTTATTTTAGTTTCTCACTTCTTACAGTAATAATTTGTCACTGAATTTTGGGGGGATGTCAATATGATGACGCAGTGCCAGGCTGTCATGGAGCAAATATACCCCAGAATACCAACTCTAAACGACAGAGAATGCTGACATGTTCATGCTTCTGTGAATTCCATGTCTATGTCAGCCCTAAATTGTACAAAATTAAGCAACAAAGCTAAAAGTTCGTTAAAAGTACTTTTTAAAAATTGTTCATTTATTTCCTAATGACATGGAAAGATCTGTGCCTTTGATTTTTCAAATGCCAAAAATATGGCCCACTTAATTGATGTATCGATCAATGGCAATATTTGTTTTAAATATAGGTACTGTATTTTAAACATATGTACACGTGCATACTACACATTTGGTTAGCTATAGAGACGAAAGATGATAGATAGATAGATAAATAGACAGACGTAGAAAAAAACAGATTCTTGTCATATGACCAGGAAAATCTAGGCACGTGGACACATTGTATGGTGGGTAGGGCAGGGTTTATTGGGTGAAAGGAAGAAAGGAAAGAGGGACTCTCAGCAAAGCCAGACAGAGTCCCGCTGCAGGACTCCCGCCTCACGGTTTGATTCCCAGGTCACCACCCAGGAACTGACCAGGCCAGGCTCCTTCCCATTGCAAACGCCCGGAACTTCCCAAGGCTCCACCCCGTCCTCCCAGTGCGCAGGTGGGCATTATTCAGAGAGAATCAGTGGGAAAAGGGCCAGCTTCATCCCGGGACCAGCAGTCCGGTTTTTCAGCCTTCAGGCTATTTTAGGCTTTAAGGCGGGGTTTCACCGGGGATCCTTGGCTGTCTCCTGTCTCTATCACAGATACACTGAAGATAGATAGATACACAGATGAGCTATGGCTCATCTGAAATTTTTCAGCTGCTCCTTACTTACTTTTCTATACCTTAAAATATCAATTGAGTTTTGACATTTAAAACTTTTTTAAATAAAGAAAAATAATTAATGCATACTATAAATTCTGCTCAATTTTGCTATTTTTTATTCTAAAATTCTAAGATAAATTCTGAAAAGACGTCTACAAATGTGTTAAGATGCACAGATTCTATCACAATGGAAAATAAATCAACAGATATTCTGAAGAAGAAAAATGAAAAGTGGAAGTTTTTTTTTTTTTTATGAAATGCCAGGAGGTTGTGTTTGTGTTAATGAGAAACATTATCTTACCAAAGAATGCTGGTATTCTCATTTCCATTTATATAGGAAATTGATTAATACTTAACTAATTGGCACATGCAAATGGGGATTAACTGAATTCACTTTTCTCCACAACTCAACGACTGTAATTTAGATCCTTACTTAGATTTAAATCTTTTATTATTTTTTAAGGTAATCATCTTCCTGTTGTTAGAAATAAAATATCAAAGCACCATGCTAATTATAGCTAGTGTCTCACAAATTAGCTAATTAACATTACTGAAAAGCAAATGTACAGTGAGCAAAGTTTAAACTCCTGAATTGGAGTCAAGCCTTTATGCAATACAGTGTGAGATACATGCTATTGAATGCCATTGGGTCAGATATACTTTGGAGCTAATAACTGTAGTCAGATATTTAGTTTTTCTTCAACTAAATAGCTTATTCTGATGTTTCCATGCAATTCCACCTGCGAACTTCTTGTGATTAACTCTTCTAGACGGAGATGTGAGGTGGGAAAACAGAATGATGCTCATGACTAGGAAAAGTCATCTTCAATAAAATCTCAAAAGTTCTCAAGGCATGCATGACTTGCTTGGGAAATTATAAAACCAGTTGTGTTCATAATTTTGTGTTTGCTAACTAATATATTTCAATACCTAAGATGCTGGCAACAATAATTCTTTAGATTCAGGGCAAAAAAAAAAACTGTTTAGCAGTTAATTTAGAGGGAAATGGCTAGAAATTCAAAGTTCCTGAGTGATGTGAACCTAATTCATTTGTGTGCCAATTTAATCTATGGCTGGATAGTCATGTAGAATCAGGGCATGTTTGGAGGAGCAGTTCTAAAGTAAGCAGGGATACGGTCGTCATCAGAAGTATTAGAAACAGGGCTTAACCATGACTATTTGCATATTGAATGTTTATTAAGCAGTTACTATGTGTCAGAGAGTATATTACAATCTTAATACCTGTGAGTGAGAAAGACTGATGAGACTATGACCTCAAAGAGCACACAGACATACAAGAGACAAAACAAATGTGTAAACGCAAAAATAATTAAGTTAATTAACTGTTGGAGTACATGCAACAAACAAAAAACCAGAAGGTTGAAATAACACCAAAGTAAAAAGACTGACAAACAGAAAGATCTAGTCATGGAAGAAACAGAACAAACGTGATTTCAGTCAGATGTTCTAAAATGCAGAAGAGCTTGATGTGACCAAGGGGCTGAAAGAAGTTCATTATGCTGAAGTATAGTGAATAGTGAGCAAGAGAGAGAATAATATAAAATGAAGGTGTAGAAACAGGAGCAGAGCAAGGCCACATCAGGCCTTCTCAACTTTACTAAAAAGGCTGATTTTATTTTAAGTTCAACAGGAAGACATTGAAAGTCTTTAATATGGGGAATGATATGAGCCCAATCTACATTTGGGAAGGTCAGTCATGGGACGAAGTGAGCAAGAGATTGTGGAACAGCAAGAGCAGAACTGAGTAGACCTATGAAGACTGTATTCTATAGACTTGGTAAAACATGGCAGTGGTCTTGTCTCTGGTGGTAACAGTAAAGATAGAGAAGAAAGAATGACTCCAGATGCAAAGTGTATTAATTAGTCCATTCTGAAAAAAAAAAAAAACCACCAGAGACAAGATAATTTCTAAAGAAAAGAGCTTTAATTGACTCATAGTTCTGCATGGCTGGGGCGGTCTCAGGAAACTTACAATCATGGTGGAAGGCAAAGCAGAAGCAGGCACCTTCTTCACAAGGTGGCAGGAGAGAGTGAGCATGAGTAGGGGAAATGCCAGATGCTTATAAAACCATCAGACATCATGAAAACTCACTCACTGTCCTGAGAACAGGATGAGGGAAACACCCCCACGATCCAGTCACTTCCCACTGGGTCGCCCCATGACACCTGGGATTGTGGGGATTACAATTCAAGATGAGATTTGGGTGGGGCACAGCCAAACCATATCACAAAGTTAGCAGAAATCACTGATAGAGAGTGAATTAAAGGAAGCATCATACATACCTAGCTTGAGCAACTGGGTACATCATAGTGCCACCTGGTAAGAAAGAAAAATCTGCATCTAGTCAGGGAGACAAAGGAGCATTCAGAGTGAGGAATTAAGGTAGTCATGGCCAGCCCAAGAATAAGGCTTAATTCGAAACCCTAAAGACAAGACAGGAAGCTGAAGTGGCTGCAATTCTCTTTGCCCAGAAATTACACTCAGGTGGAGTGAGAAATGAGGACTGGGCTAAGGAGAGATGGCGGACACCACTGGAGGCATACATGGGAGGTGACTGAACAGGGGAAAAGCTGGACATACAAGGCAAAGGGCATATGAAACCACAAGTTCTGGACTGTCACATGAGTCTAGCACATTCCATTCGGAAGAACACTGTGATGGAGCCCTGACATGTATCTTAGTGTACCATAGGCCCAGGCTGTACCTGAAGGGCTCACACTTTAAAGAACAGCCAACCTTTCTGAAACTCTAAAAGGTGTTCCATATTTTTGCTTATGAGAATACTAAGGTCTTGAACAATTTGCATTACTCCAACTTTGCACAATGTAGCCCTAATGCCACATCTTAATTCTCGGAATCCCTGATGTAGCCCTCTCACAGGCCGAATGTCTGGATGAATCAGACATTAGAGTGAGATTAGAGCCTCACTCTAAGCACAGAAACCCCAGTCAGGGTCTCACTCTAATCAGAGAAAGCCTCAGACATGTTTGTTATATGAACAGTTTGTTTTGGGGGTTCTCATCTCTCACCATCCTCTTTTTCTCATTTGCAGTCTTCTACCCCTTTGTAAGGTGTCCATTCAGCTACCTCCAATAAATAGCACCCTGCTATTTTCTGACATCCAACTGGACAATGTACCACACTCCTTATTTGTCCTTTCCCTGTCCCCTATAAAAATGTATGCATCAGTGTTCATCTGTCTACAGCCTTTCTCCTTTTTTTTTTTTGGATTTTTTTTTTTTTTTTTTTTTTTTTTTTTTTTTTTTTTTTTTTTTTTAGTATTTATTGATCATTCTTGGGTGTTTCTCGGAGAGGGGGATGTGGCAGGGTCATAGGATAATAGTGGAGAAAAGGTCAGCAGATAAACACATGAACAAAGGTCTCTGGTTTTCCTAGGCAGAGGTCCTTGCGGCCTTCAGCCCTGTTTGTGTCCCTGGGTACTTGAGATTAGGGAGTGGTGATGACTCTTAAGGAGCATGCTGTCTTCAAGCATCTGTTTAACAAAGCACATCTTGCACCGCCCTTAATCCATTTAACCCTGAGTTGACACAGCACATGTTTCAGAGAGCAGGGGGTTGGGGGTAAGGTTATAGATTAACAGCATCCCAAGGCAGAAGAATTTTTCTTAGTACAGAACAAAATGGAGTCTCCTATGTCTACTTCTTTCTACACAGACGTAGTAACAATCTGATCTCTCTTTCTTTTCCCCACATTTCCCCCTTTTCTTTTCGACAAAACCGCCATGGTCATCATGGCCCGTTCTCCATGGTTGCTGTCTCTTCGGAGCTGTTGGGTACACCTCCCAGATGGGTCGGCGGGGCAGAGGCGCTCCTCACTTCCCAGATGGGGCGGCTGGGCAGAGGCGCTCCTCACTTCCTAGACGGGGTGGCGGCCGGGCAGAGGCGTTCCTCACATCCCAGACGATGGGCGGCCAGGCAGAGACACTCCTCACTTCCTAGAAGGGGTAGCGGCCGGGCAGAGGCTGCAATCTTAGCACTTTGGGAGGCCAAAGCAGGCGGCTGGGAGGTGGAGGCTGCAGCCAGCCGAGATCACGCCACTGCACTCCAGCCTGGGCAACATTGAGCATTGAGTGAGCGAGGCTCCGTCTGCAATCCCAGCACCCTGGAAGGCCGAGGCGGGCAGATCACTGCTGGAGACCAGCCCGGCCAACACAGCGAAACCCTGTCTCCACCAAAAATACAAAAACCAGTCAGGCATGGCGGCACGTGCCTGCAATCCCAGGCACTCGGCAGGCCGAGGCAGGAGAATCACGGGAGCCCAAGGCAGGGAGGTCGCAGCGAGCCCAGATCACGGCAGTACAGTCCAGCCTCGGCAACAGAGGGAGACCGTGGAAAGATAGAGAGAGAGAAGAGAGAAGGGAGAAGAGAGAAGGGAGAAGGGAGAAGAGAGAAGGGAGAAGGGAGAAGGGAGAAGGGAGAGGGCTCTACAGCCTTTCTAGATAATCCAATAAACTAATCTGTGTTCAAGCTGCCAATGGTTTAAATCAGAGGATGTTAGTAGTGGCCCTCTGGAGAAACATGGCTTAACCAAAATGTTAAGGGCTAATTCTGGAAATAGCTCTTTGTAGGAAATTGAACGGTAAGTGGAAAGCAAGCCTTTTACATCCTTAAAATTAACCACATAGAAGGTTGTCTCACCCTGCTTTGGGATGAACTTTAGCCTTAAAAGTAAGCTTCCCAAATTACGGAATGCTTGTTTGAAGAAAGACGGTTTGCCCTAAAAAAAAGAGAAGGGCTTTCAATCATCATGTGAGTGCAAAGAAAAAAAATTGTTACTGGAAAAGGAGCGAAGGCTTTGTCTTTGACCCAGTGTCCCACCGAGTGGAAACGTTTACTTGGGATTCCATGCACAGGTCAATGTACCACAGAAGCCAAAATCAGTTCTTAAAAACAATAACACTAACCACAAGCCACCCAAGAATCAGAGACACTTTTATACAGCCCAGTTTCTTCCCTTGCAGGCTCATTTTCAAGGCCACATGGGTTGGGGGAAAATTGTGCATCCCTGCTAAAGTGGTTTTTAGTCTATAGTGAATGCATTTTAGTCTTGACATATTTTCCAATTGGTAAAGGGAAAAAAAGTCAAGCAAATTTAAATGTACAAATAAAATTTGCCATCGTCTTCAAAACGTAAGAGAGAGTGCTTAAAGAGCAAGCTTTATTTTGGCTATTTGCACTTTAATTCTCCTTACCTAAATGATGGGGGTGTTGTTCAAAAAGAATAGAAAATAGCCTTCCTATAAAAGATCCCAGCATAAAAGATTAAATATGCATCCTACCTTTAATACCTGACTGGTTCCTAGCCAATGCACAGCATTCATTTCTTTCAACTTGACTCCAAGAAGACTTCCTGACCACCATAAATCATTTGCTTTTGTTGCATTGTGCTGATATTGCAACTTTATTTTCTAGGTACTCTGTTCATTACATCTCTCCCCAAATCAGTTCCTCAGCCAATCTTCTACTTCTCTTATATATTTTAATACAGTATCATTTTTTAAATATAATGAATAAATGAGCAAATTAATGAATAAAAGAACAAATGAGGCTGGATGAGATGGCTCATGCCTGTAATCCCAGCACTTTGGGAGGCCCAAGCAGGAGGATTGCTTGAGGCAAGGAATTGAAGACCAGCCTGGGCAATGTGGCAAGACCCATTCTCTACAAAATTTTTAAAAAAGGAAACTTAGCAGGGTGTGGTGGCACTTGCCCGTAGTCCCAGCTATTCAGGAGGCTGAGGCAGCAGGAATGCTTGAGCCAGGAGGTTGGAGGCTGCAGTGAGCCATGATTGTGTCACACACTCCAGCCTGGGCAACAGAGCAAACACTAACTCAAAAAAAAAGAAGAAGAAGAAAGCATAAGTGAATAAATAAATGAATCAAGGCCATTAACTGCCATAAATTCAGATGAACAGCTGTTTACATAAGTGTTACCCTTTGATTTACAAGCTACCTAATTGAAAATAGAAATAAAACATAAGAAGAGTGAGTTACAGAGTTCCATTTTTTTCAAGATTAGTCAGACAACTAACTTCTCTGGGTACATATTAGATACTTTGGAAAGGTCTTTCAGACCAGTAAAATACCATTTGGTATGCTGAACTAGTCATTTACTGAGTAATACTCTGTATACGTAAAAAAGTCATGTAACGTTTACTCTTTTGTAATCATAGAGCAGCTAAGGCTCTGGGAAGTACAAACTGTCTTTCAGAACTACAATCAGCAACAAGCTACATTTCCAATTTTGCAGAGTCACAAGAAAAAAAGGATTATCTTTTGTAAAATGTTAATAGTCCAAATGTACCTGTATGGTTGCACATCCAATGAAGCTTCCAATGTATTCTTATTTTAATAAAATGCTATTTTTAAGGAGATAACATAAATAATTATCTAATACTTTAAGTGACATAAATTGCATTTAATAAGTTCTAGAGTATTATTCATATTATTCTCTTCAAAAGCATTAGCTCACTTAATTCCCACAACAGCCCTAAGATGATGATACCATCATTATCCCTAATTTACAGATAGGGAAACTGAAGCGTAGGGAGAAAAACCAAGCTAATTAAAGCTAGAGCTGAACTTTGACCCCAATTCTATTCCATTTTTGAGCTCAAGCTTACAATCATTAAAATATATTCTTTGTTATATGCATGGTTATATACATAACCACAAGAATGTTAAGTTTACTTATCTGTTTGGTACACCAATGGATCACAAGTGTTTATATCAATGCCTATCACACATAGTGGGTACTCAATAAGGATTTGTTAAGTGCAAGAATGATAAATAATGAGGACTACCTTGGATCAATACTATGTCAATAATCTCATATCAGTTCCGGACTCAATTAAGTTAGAAGCAAGATATTAACCTGAAACAAAAAAGTGTTAAGTTGTATGGTAGAATTCCTCCTGTCAATCACATGTTTTGATAGTTGCCTCATCATCTATGTAGAGTAAAACTTTTTAGAACATTGATGGTAGGTTAATTTATGATCTCTGTCCAGCATTTATGATAAACGTTAGAAAAACAAGATTATTTTTGCTTTTGTTGAAACCATAATGATTACTATGGTAGGCTTAAAACACATACAAATAATCAATTAAGGACAAAACTCGATATACTGCAAATAGCTATTAAATAGAGTAGGAATTTAATGTACTGAAAAAGAAGACTCATGAACATAGTTTCTTTGAGCCAAAATGACACATCTGTTCACATTTCTCTAAATAGTTGTGATGAATTGTATTGTGCTATGCATATTATCTCAGCTATCTTTTATTATTTCATATAACCAAACCGTTTAAGAAAAAGAGCACACTTTAAATAGCAGAGCTATTAGGTACCAGCAGCCTAAATGGATCTCTATTTTGTAGATTATATTCAATTAATCTGCTACTGTTTATGCAAACACACCTTGTTCTTTCTTGCTTCTGTAATATTTCTCATGCTATTCTCCTGCTTAAAACACTCTTTCTTTTCTTCAGGTATCCAACTGAACTTCAAAGCTCAGCTAGCTCAAACATTATTTCTATGAAAACTTTCCCAAGAAAAATATTGAATTAAAAGTGTGGGAGCAATCTAACAAATAAAATAACCCATCTCCACCAACAGAACTTATGCATAACTTTTCCTTCTACTACTAATTGGTATTGCAGCCTAGACTTACACATCTGAACAGACAAAATTGTGAGACTGTGATCCAGGCAGTGAGACTCCAAAGTCTAGGTATTTATCGCTAAGCGAGATAGATATGGATAGACAGATGATAGGCTGGGTGCCGTGGCTCACGCCTGTAATCCCAGCTCTTTGAGAGGCAAAGGTCTGCAGATCACCTGAGGTTAGAAGTTCGAGACCAGCCTGGCTAACATGGCGAAACCCTGTCTCTATTAAAAATACAAAATTAGCTGGGCATGGTGGTGAACACCTGTAATCCCAGCTGAGGCAGGAGAATTGCTTGAACCCGGGAGGCGGAGGTTGCAGTGAACTGAGATCAAGCCATTGCACTGGGTGACAAGAGCGAAATTTTGCCTAAAAAAAAAAAAAGATATAGATAGATGATAGATAGATAGATAGATAGATAGATAGATAGACAGATAGATAATCACATAAATATAAATAAAGGCATTTAAAATAATGAACACACACAAAGAGCTTGCTTGGCCAGGATTTGTCTGTGAAAGCTTTATCTAGGCTTCAGCAAGGCCTGGAAGAACATGTAAGATTTGAACAGGCAGAAAGCAGAAGAAAAGGCATGTTAGGCAGGAGGAAAATCATGTGAAAAGTTTCAGAGGGGAAAAAAACATAAGTTTGGATAAGTACTCGTAGGGAAATAGATTACAAAAAGCAAGAGATAAATAAAGAAATAAAGTTGTTTGTGGATGAAAAAAATGCCTTGGCAAATAAATGAGATAGTACTTTTTGAGATAAGCTTTAACATATACTTAGTTTTTAACTGTGGGAACACCATGATGAAAGTGATTTTGTTTGTCAGCAACACTTCCTTCTTATCTTTCATCTCCATCTAAACCCTACCTTCTCTTCAATGCAGAAACAAGACCAGTCAGAGGTTATTTGCAGGAATCATTTTGAAGACAAAAATTTCCAAGCAGTCAACTCCAACCAATAAAAAATCTGAATTTAATTATATGAGAAAAAAATAAAAACTTGTATAAAATAAAAATAAATGTTAGAACTGGCACAGAGTAAATGTAGAAAAACTCACTTATGAAAAAAAAAGTACATTTTTTTTCAGGCAATAAAACTAAGCCAGTACTTATGTGGTGGAAAATCTCAACCTACATCCACTTTGTCAGTATTATGGGGTAGTTTTAATTATCAAGACTCCAGAGACTTTCCTCATGTAAGGAAAATATTACTAGAGATATAGGATATCAACTTTCACCCTATATATTATAATACATAGGGGTTATTTTCATGGGTTTTCACCATGGGGGGAAATACTGTCAAACAAATTACTTTCCAGTTTAGAATATTTTCCTGTATATCAGGAGCCAACTCAATAATTTCGAATGCTTTGAGGAGTGAAGCACAGGAAATTCTTTCATCTCTGAGTTGGCATGTTTCCTCTTTCCTCTTCTACACCATAATATTACACTTAGCACTGGTTGGTTAAGCTCAGGCTGGCTGTCCCTTTGCCCTCCACAAACCACATTTACGACCATATTTATCTTACTTGGGACACCAAGTTCAAGCAAAAGGTTCTCGGATCAGGGTCAAAGGCATTAGCAGGTTGGCAAAATTGATTGTGGTGAAGTAGAAATGCCCTTTGTAAAATACCATAGAAGCAAAAATATTGATTTGCTTTGTGTTTTGGCTTAAAAATAATTTCCTATGGTAAACCAGTTCCTCACTAAATACCAATATCACATAGTAACTAAATTCACCAAGTCAAACCATATTTGAACGCTTTTATTGTTGTCTGCATTATAGTTCATTTCCAAGCCAATAACCGTTGACTTATTGTAGCTTCTGAATCATATATTCTAAATATCTTTGTAGACCTGAGGTTGAGTTTTGTCATCAAGCAATACTGAGATAGAATTATTTCCACAGAGAATTATTTTGTTCTACTAATTAGTAAAATATTAAAATCTATCAGGGTTGTATGAGTACACACTAACTTGTATACATAGAAAGCTTAGTAATTCAAGTGCCAGAACGTCATCATTTTTTTAAAGTTTTATATTACATCTCAGGAAATTGCACTTTACCTCCAAGGATGTAATCATCACACAATATCTTAAACCTAGCACACACTTAATAACTACTTATTCATAGACTTATTGTTTATAACGTTCTAAGAGAAAACAAGGCAAGGAATAAAAGTCAGGCTGATATATATTTTCAGAAATATTTCTAATATTTCTATTTCGTTCAGGAATATGAACAGAAAATGAATCTTATCATTTATGTTAAATAGATATGCTATAAATTCAGAACATATTAGAAATAAAAATATTATAAATAAGTAAATAATTTTGGCCCATAATCATTTGGCCATTTGGGGCTTTTTCTAGGCTTAATTGAATTTGTAGTTAACAATAAAAGATGTGTTCTAAAAATAAACTGTCCTCTTCAAAAATAATCTGGAAATGCTCAAGAGTCTTCATCATTTATTCTGACAAAAGTGATCATATTCTTATTTCGCTTTCAGTTTAGCTTCACATTTTGTTTAAAAGCTAAAAAATCTCTCTAGTGTTCCTTGGGAGAATGATTAGCCACCATTAAATAAAGAATCTCAGGAGGCTGGGCTCTCACTTGTAATCCCAGTGCTTTGGGAGGCCAAGGCAGGAGGATCATTAGAGTCCAGGAGTTCGAGACCAGCTGTGGCAACAATGCAAGACCCTGTCTCTACAAAAAATTTTTTAAGTTGCCAGATGTGGTAGTAAGTGCCCGTAGTCTCAGTGAATTAGGAGACTGAGGTGAAAGGTTCCCTTGAGCCCAGGAGGTCGAGGCTGCAGTAAGCTATGATTGTGCCACTGCACTCTGTTCTAAGGCATCTGTTCCAAGATTTCTCACATGAGATTCTGCTTGCTTTCTGTGTCTAAGATGTCTCAACACAGGCTTCTACTATGCGCAGCCACTTGGGATTTTTGTGGGACCTTAGTTTCAGTTGCTCTCAAGAGTATAAGTACAATATAAACTTCCCAGAGTTTAGAAGATTCTACTGTTAACAGAGAATAGAAGATTCATACACATGAATCTTCTATTACATGTACTTGAAGAAACCCTGGGAAAATTCTAGTTGAAACCACTGCTTTAGCATCTTCAATTAAAACCATTTGAGCAAACAGTAAGTTGAAAGCTATGAAAGAATTTTTTTTTTTTTGCAAATAGGCTTCCAAATAGAGCAATATTGGCAAAGGAAACCAAAACACAATTTGTTGTGTTTAAGAACTGCCTAATCCATTTAAAAATAAATAGAGGGACAAAGTTTTCCAGAGAATAGGGTTTATAAAATTTTCGACTGACAGAGAGAGGTTGAGTTGAATAAAGGGAGTAGGGGAGGAGGGATCAAATTTGCCACCTTGAAAGAAAATATTTGTAAAGGTTTTCCAAAGGTAAAAATCAACAGATCTTTCTTCCTGGATCTGCAAGCTACCAGTGAATGTGCCTACTAAAGAAGCATTGCCAATTTATAAGACAATATAAATAAAAAGTATTTGGTGACAGAATCAAGAGACATTCCCTTGTATTCTTCCTAGAATCATCAGATACCCAATTGTTGAAGCCAGATCCTTAGAATTCCTCCTAGACTCTTTCTGTCTCTCATTCTGTCTATTTAGTAAATTATCAGATTTTAAATCCCTTGAATCCCTGGTAAGATTCAGATGTGAAAAAATAAAAAGAGGAGCTGGTACCATTCCTTCCGAAAAGATTCCAAACAAATGAAAGGGGGACTCCTCCCTAACTCATTTTATGAAGCCAACATCATCCTGATACCAAAACTGGGAGAGACACAACAACAGCAACAACAAAAAAACTTCAGGCCAATATCCCTGATGAACACCAATGCGAAAATCCTCAATAAAATACTGGCCAACCGAATCCAGCAGCACATCAAAAAACTTATCCACCATGATCAAGTTGGCTTCATCCCTGGGATGCAAGTCTGGTTCAACATACACAAATCAATAAATGTAATCCATCACATAAACAGAACCAAAGACAAAAACCACATGATTATCTCAATAAATGCAGAAAAGGCCTTTGATAAATTTCAACATTCCTTCATGTTAAAAACTCTCAGTAAACTAGCTATTCATGGAACATGTATCAAAATAATAAGAGCTATTTATGACAGACTCATAGCCAATATAATACTGAATGGGCAAAAGCTGGAAGCATTCCTTTTGAAAACCAATACAAGACAAAGATGCCTTCTCTCACCACTCCTATTCAACATAGTATTGGAAGTTCTGGCCAGGGTAATCAGGCAAGAGAAAGAAATAAAGAGTATAGCAAGAGAGAAAATCAAGTTATCTCTGTTTGCAGATGACATGATTTTATGTTTACAAAACCCTATAATCTCAGCCCAAAAACTCCTTGAACTGATAAGCAAGTTTAGCAAAGTCTCAGGATACAAAATCAATGTGCAAAAATCACAAGCATTCCTTACACCATCAATAGGCAAGCAGAGAGCCAAATCATGAATGAACTCCCATTCACAATCACTACACAGACAATAAAATACCAAGGAGTACAACTAACAAGGGAAGTAAAGGACCTCTTCAAGGAGAAAGAACTACAAACCACTGCTCAAGGAAATAAGAGAGTACACAAACAAATGGAAAAACGTTCCATCCTTAAAGATAGGAAGAATCAATATTGTGAAAATGGCCATACTGCTCAAAGTAATTTAAAGATTCAATCCTATTCCTATCAAGCTATCATTGACATTCATCACAGAATTAGAAAAAACTATTTTAAATTTCATATGGAATCAAAGAAGATCCCATATAGCCAAGACAATACTAAGCAAGAAGAACAAAGCTGGAGGTATCATGCTACCTGACTTCAAACTATACTACAAGGCTACAGTAATCAAAACAGCATGGTACTGGTACCAAAACAGACATATAGACCAATGGAGCAGAACAGAGACCTCAGAAATAACACCACACGTCTACAACCATCTGATCTTCGAGAAACCTGACAAAAGCAATGGGGAAAGGATCTCCTATTCAATAAATGGTGCTGGGAAAATTGGCTAGCCATATGTAGAAAGCTGAAACTGGAGGCCTTCCTTACACCTTATACAAAAGTTAACTCAAGATGGATTAACAACTTAAATGTAAAATCCAAAACCATTAAACCCCTAGAAGAAAACCTAGGCAATATCGTTCAGGACATAGACATGGGCAAAGACGTCATGACAAAAACACCAAAAGCAATTGCAACAAAAGCCAAAATTGACAAATGGGATCTAATTAAACTAAAGAGCTTCTGCACAGCAAAAGAAACTATCATCAGAGTAAACAGGCAACCTACAGAATGGGAGAAAATTTTTGCTATCTACCCATTGACAAAGGTCTAATATCCAGAATTTACAAGCAACTTAAACATATTTACAAGAAAAAAACAAACAACCCCATCAAAAAGTGGGCAAAGGATATGAATAGACACTTCTCAAAAGAAGACATTGATGTGGCCAACAAACGTGTGAAAAAAAGCTCAACATCACTGATCATCAGAGAAATGTAAATCATAACCACAATGAGATACCATCTCACACCAGTCAGAACGATGATTATTAAAAAGTCAGGAAACAAAGTTGATGGCAAGGCTGTGGAGAAATAGGAACGCTTTTATACTGTGAGTGGCAGCATAAATTAGTTCAACCATTGTGGAAGACAGTGTGGTGATTCCTCAAGGATCTAGAACCAGAAGTACCATTTGACCTAATAAATCCCATTACTAGGTATATATCCAAAAGAATATAAATCATTCTCCTATAAAGACACATGCACACATGTTTATTGCAGCAGTATTTACAATAACAAAGATATAGAACCAACACCAATGCCCATCAATGATAGACTGGATAAAGAAAATGTGGTACATATGCACCATGGAATACTATGCAACCACAAAAAGGACTGAGATGATGTGCTTTGCAGGGAGATGGATGAAGCTGGAAGCCATCATCCTCAGCAAACTAACATAGGAACAGAAAACCAAACATCACATATTCTTGCTCATAACTGGGAGTTGAACATTGAGAACTCATGGACACAGAAAGGAAAACAACACACACCAGGGGCTGTTGGGGGTTGGGGGGTGAGGGGAGGGGACTTAAAGGACGGGTCAATAGGTGCAGCAAATTGCCATGGCACACGTATACCTATGTAATAAACCTGCACGCTCTGCACATGTATCCCTTTTTTTAGATGAAATAAAGAAAAAAAAATAAATCTTTTGAGTCTATCTCTCATTTCCCACATCCTCAAAAATTATCTCTGCCACTCCTCGTATCATCAGATTACTCACTGCCTCTTATCCCTTTTTTCACTGCACCTCCTCTTTCTCTGGAGTAAGGCTTTTAATATATTTTTAAATTTCAAATAAGCTTATGTCACTGTGGTGTTTAACATCAATCTCATCTTTCATAGCTCTTCCATATGCACTTTCTAAACACAATGCACTCACCACAGTTTCTCAAAATCATTATGCTTTTGTGTCTTGGAAAAAAAATAATTTCTTTTGTTTTTCCATTCTTATTGACTAACAAGTTTCTAGTAATCAATATGCAGCTCAATTGTCACCTTCTTTCAAAGCCTCCAGCCCCCACCTGTTGCAAGACTTGTTCTTTCTTCTATCATAACACATCACTTTCTTCTATCATAACACCTCACATCATGTCATGATCTGGCACGTATTCTCACCAGGCTTTGAATGCCTGAAGAGGAATTATTTCTTACTCAATTTTAATATGAATGCACAACGTCTGTAATAGATATATGTTAAATAAGGTTCTAGGATTGAAGGAGTGAAATCAGTGGTGTCTTAGATACAATTGCCTAGAAGCACAGCCTGAGAACTGGATTTCCAAGCAAAGGATTTATTCAGGGAGTGCTCTCAGGAGAAGCCTGCAGGATGGCAAGCAAAGGACAGGTAGAGGAAGAAACTAAGCAAAGGTGTAGTGTTCGTTGATGTCTAGCCTCAGCCTAACACTATTTGTAGTTCTGAAACAGTAAGGTCATTTCAGAACTGGGTCTCTTTGAGCCAAGAGAGTCAGGTTTTGAGACCTCTATGTCAGTCATTGGTTGCCAAGCGTTGGAGGGTGTTGATGGTGGGAAGTATAGCCTCTCTATATGCTATTAATTGTGCAAAGCCGCACCAAAGACTTCAATGATTTGTCATGCCGTTACATTGTTGTAGGAGTGCAGTGTTTCTTCCAAGGGAACTTCTAAGCAGCTCAAAAAAGAGAAGAATCCTTAGAAATTTGTGTTTTAGTATCTAGTGTTATACTTAGAAAGAGGCACCAAATCCCTAGAACATACTAAGAATATCTCTTTAAAATGTGTACTTTTTAAACTTATCATAAATTACTTTTTTACTGGGGTACTGAATCCTATGTGTTATGTCTGAGATTTGGTCTCTTTAACCTCACCATACATGAGAATAAATAAAGGTTGCTCAGCAAACCTACTAAAGGCCTAATATAGCTGTTAAGTCTGTGTGAGTCTTTGTAATATTTCCTGGACACTTGGAACCAAATAAACGGTATCTTTTCATATTCTAGGCATTTATCTTAGAATAGAAGTGTTTTATAAGTATGCATATGCAGGCCATGAAACATTATTTTGAATAGGCATTTATTAATGTTCATGCAATATTTATACAGCCTGCCCACATACAGATAGACAAACAAAACAAATGGAGATTATCTTTCAACCATATTTTAGTATCTTTTCATAAATAGTGCATTATAGTAAACAACTTTTCCAAATATTTTCTAAAATGAACAGTATGAGATGTCAGAGAACACTGGAGATAAAACTAAGTCCCCAAAGCATATTTTTCTTCTTGATTGCTAATAAACAGAGGAATTAAAACTAAGACAAAATTCCTGCTAACGCACATGCAAATTTTAATCAATAACAATACAAAAATATATGTAGCAATAAGAAGCTGCTGACCTTCTAAAATTTCATTCTGCACATTTTCTGTTTATTGTGCTGGATTCTAACCACACATTCCCTATTAAGATAATCACATGTTAAATGAAAGAGAATTCTACTTGCTTAAAGCTAATTTTGAGAAGTGTTTGTAAAAGTACAATGGCATCATGTGGCACATTAGTAATGGGTATGAAAATGTACACAAGAAATGTCAATGGCTGTCATGTGTAACTGAGGGCAGAGAAGAGTGCATATTAATTCAGAAAAATTTGGCCCCACTCCAAGGATTTTTACAATCCCAAGACTATTTTTAAGAAGTTCTCAAAATTGAATCACACATTTAAAATGGAAAAAACAACTAACTGCCTCCAACTCAGGTATGAAACTAAAGATAAGGAAATTCAGGCAGCCCTTGGCAGTGTGGTTTGAGCAGATAAAAATGGAAAATGTCCAAACCCTTTGACTGTAGAAAAGTCTCAACATTTTCATTTTGTTCTATTTTATTCTTCAGGCAGTACATTAATGCACAGGGGATTACTATTATAATTTTCATTAGCATTGAATGCTCTAGATTCCAGTTGAACACATAATGTATTATTGAAATCTGGATTTCTAATTTTTAATGGTTGAGAAAGCAAGTGATTATACCCTTCTCTGAAACAATTTTTTTAAACAACCTTCTATTAAATCAGTTAAACAAAAAAGAAGTAATTTAGTAATAAGAACCAAATTCAGGCAGTTTCAATACCTATGAGATGAGGAGATGGGTGAAATGAAACAACAGAATGGCTGGAATAATCAACAAATTTTGTTTAGCTGATATTAAGGTAAATGTAGTGGTGGAGTGAATAGAGCCTAGAAAAGTGTTAATTGGATAAATTAAGTTTCAGACAAGTGGAGACTTGGTACTTCAAATTCAGGAACTTTCATTTTAATCATTTTTATGAAAACATTTCTAAAATATATTACACTCTTTATTATTCTTTTATTTAAAGAAACTGAGCATACTTATCTTTCCTTAATGAGTTAGAATTATTTATAGATGTTAGACATTTTCATGTACTAAGAGAATTTTTAAATTTGTCCCTAGACTGATCAAACATTGCTATAGCATTCAAATGTGGCAAGGTTACATGCTCAGAATTATTGAAGTAAGTATGATTTTTCTTTTTCCTAAACATCCCCAGAGCTCAATATTTTTCGGGCCAGTATTTCTTCTTTCACACATGGGCAGCTTTTTCATTCATTTGTATTTTTTATAGTAGCTATCATTGCTCTTAATTTCAGCTGTCATTTCCCTTTCCAAATAGTTTTTCTTCTACCCACATTGCTTTTTTCTTTATTTTCCTTTATATTAAAAAAAAACTCATATGTCTTTAGTTTTACCCGACAAAAACTGATTTTGAAAGCTAACATCATAAATGTAAATGCTGGTTATTTTTTTCTCCTGTAATTTTTGCATTAGAAAGATTTTTGGCAAATTTTGTTGATGTTTCTACTCAGTGGCCTTATTTTCAAAGTATTACTATTTTTTTTTTTATTAAGGCAGTTGAGAATGCCAAACACCTGAGGGGCTCTGTCTACAGTGACTAATTTCTTACCTTTTATCATAATGTAAATGTACTTTCCTCCAAGGGTTTTTAAGTATTTCCCAACTCTTTTCCTAGATAATTAAATTTCCTCTTTCATTTTTTATACATGTTTCCATGACAATGTCCTGCATACTCATATTTCATATCAAAACATAAAATACTTAAAATTTATCTCTCTTAATTATATAGCCTGTTTTAGAAGAAAGTGTCCCTAAAAGACATTTTAGGGGGCATGAATAAGTCAAAATTATCATTTCTTTCTTTTTTTAACTTTTATTTTAAGTTCAGAGGTACATATGCAGACTGTGAAGGCTTGTAAATAGGCAAGTGTGTGTCCAGGGGGTTTGTTGTGCAGATTATTTCATCACCCAGGTATTAAGCCTAGGAAAACTAACTAATGGGTACTAGGCAGAAATATCATTTCAATTAATAAGAATTTACTATACACAATTCACACTGTCAGAAATAAATTAGATGTCATTTAAAAGCAGGAAAATAATCTAGAGTTATGCTCAAGATTTTAAGAAATGCCAATATAAGATCATTTCCTTAGAGATAGCTTTTGCTTGAAATAGGTTCTATTTCATCGACTGATATTGATCGATTAATTTATTAATTTTTTCTGAATGTTGTTATATACAGAATCAGTTCATTATAAAAAGAAAATACAGCATTACACTCATAAAATCTCATTCCTATTTAGACACATAGAGATTTTGATGTCTTATTTCACTGCAGTGACTTTTGTCATAAAATCCAACTGCATTAGCTCATTTAAAAGGCCCTTTGGCCCGAGTGTGGTGGCTCACGCTTGTAATCCCAGCACTTTGGGAAGCCAAGGTGAGTGGATCACTTGTGTCCAGAATGTGAGACCAGCCCGGGCAACATGGCAAAATCCTGTCTCCGCTAAAAATACAAAAATTAGCTGGGCGTGGTGGCGCGCGCCTGTAATCCCAGCTGCTTGGCAGGCTGAGGCAGGGGAATCACTTGAACCCTGGAGGCGGAGGTTGCAATGAGTTGAGATCTCGCCACTGCACTCCAGCCTGGGTGAGTGAGATCCTGTCTCCAAATATCAATCAATCAATCACTCAATAGATTAATAGCCCTTTGAAGCGCATCTCCGCTTACCTGTCTGGGCTTCTCTTTCATCTTCACTTCCAGCTCTATGTTCAAGCCTTACTGAATCACTTTCAGTCACACCAGCCTGTCATATTTATTGTCTCTTGATTTCTTTTTCATTGTACATCCATAATATCCATAATAGATGTACATATTTTCAGGGGTACATGTAATAATTTAATACATTCATACACCCAAATCAGGGTAATTGGGGTATCTTTCACATTATATATCTATCTTTTTATATTTATATAATTTATATAATTATGCTAGGAACATTTAAATTATTCTCTTCTAGCCGTTTTGATATGTACAGTAGATTGATGTTAACTATCATCACCCTACTGATCTATGGAATCACAGGTCTTATTTTTTCTATCTAACTGTATATTCGTACTCATGAATTAACCTTTCTTCTTGATTTCTTTCTACAGTCTATTCCCTTTATTATAACTCTCCTACCTCCCACCTTCTCGACTAACTTTAGTCCTTCAGATCTCAGTCTAGAAATTATTTCTCTAAAAAATCATCCAGATACACCCCCCTCCTCCCCACCCAGTTCAGGCCAGAACACACGTAGCACAAGCCGCATTACAGCTACATCACTATCTTGACTTTCTGTGCAGTGTTTTCATTTCATAGCTAGCACAACCAGCCAAAATTGAGACCTTTCCTAAAAGGCACATTAATGACAATCTACTTAAGATTGGACGATTTTCTTAAAGAAAAATCTAGGCTAACATTTATATAAGCTTTTTATCCATTTTATTGTAAAACTTAATGAAAAAGGTAAGAGGTATAATTTTGAGCACGGGGGAAAGCTGTCATTTATGAGTAAAGATCTTACAAGAGTAGATAACAGAAAAAAGAGAGGTGGGGTGTTAGATGAAGAGAGAGAGATACATGGGAAATATTCCTAACGAGGTGGCTTTGACCACATTCTGACTAAATGTAGTGGGAATACATTTCATTTTCAACTGAATCATTTATATGTTAATAAGGTATCAAGAGCAGTGATGTGGCTACCAAAGAAATTAATCATATGTTCTCTATTTAATCCGAAGACACTATATGGGATATGCAAATATTTAAATGTAATATTAATTGAAGCAAAATACTATGACCCTGGGAAAGTGGTCAACCAGAAATTAATGTTTATGTATCCTAAAGCTCCATTGTTTGGAAATATTATACCGATGAGGAGAAAGGCAGAGACTTGATTCTACCACACATTTATGGATTAAAATCTAAGAGTCTCCGAAGAAAAATACCCTGAAAAATACCATGATGCCAAATATAAATAAGAAATTTAGAGCTTATAAAAAAGATGGTGAATATAGACTATGATTTCTTTTTTTTTTTTTCTTTTTTTTTGAGACGAAGTCTCGCTCTGTCTCCCAGGCTGGAGTGAAGTGGCGCCATCTTGGCTCACTGCAACCCCCGCCTCCTGGGTTCAAGCAATTCTCCTGCCTCAGCCTCCCGAGTAGCTGGGACTACAGGCGCCTGCCACTACGCCCAGCTAATTTTTTTATTTTTATTTTTTGTATTTTCTGTAGAGATGGGATTTCACCATGTTAGCCAGGATGGTCTCGATCTCCTGACCTTGTGATCTGCCCGCCTCGGCCTCCCAAAGTGCTGGGATTACAGGCATGAACCACCGCGCCCTGCCTGGACTATGATTTCTTACTAATGAAGTATGGAATACCTAAATGAGGCTGACATCCATAGTGCATTCCATAGAAATAAATGACATGGATAAAGAATAGAAATCTTCAGGGAGAAGGATTCACTTGCACCCACATGGGCAGTGATCTAAAAAATGAAGGAAGATTAATAGATATATTTATTTATAAATATCCCCGGGTATTTTTAAGCTCTGGATTAAGGTCACTAGAGCTATTTAATAGGCTGTCTGTATAATGTCTGTTTGTCTATGTACGAGTGTAGATAGATAAGCAATAGATATGTACATACATCTGTAGACAAAAAGAAATGTAGATAGGTGATAGATAGGTGATAGATAAATAGATATGAATGCATACATTTTTACATATTTATGCACACACATATACATATATCTTATACTTTTAAAGATAATTTCTATTAGATGTGATGTAAACTTCTCAGGGCTCAATGAGATAGTAAAATCTACTCATGAGGTCATTATTCAGATTAATTTATGCACGTACGTGAACTCAATCCCAAAGTCATTCCTATCACTTTTGACCTTCATACATAACACAACTCACCTGTAGCCATCAATGTATCTCTGATTCTCAGGTCTATATTCCTCTTGTAAATGTACTAAACTAATAGAAAGCATTGTTACCCAAAGTTTATAGATCCACAATAATTTCCTAAGAGCTGTTTTTTAACATCAATCTCTCCTCTAAGCCATTTGTCACACCTGTTATTATAAGTTCTTTGAAAATAAGAATAATGCCTGGAAGTTTGTTGTATGCTCACCAACCTAACAACAGCTTTGAACTCATAACAGGTGATTTCTAAATACTTACCGACAGACGTAGCTTAAGATTCCTCTTTAAGAATCTAGGCCAGCCAATAAAAGACATCAAAATGATAACATTTAGCTATGACTTTTGAACTAGTAATCCATGGTCATAATATTTTTAGAATTTTATGTTAAACATGAAGCCAATAAAATATCAGTAGCATGGCAAAAGTACTAGGGGTTGGAGAGAAAGGAAGACAGAGAATTGTTTGGGGTGTGATGGAAGGATTGCCTAATAATGAATTTTTAGTCTAAATTGAACTGTATCTTTGTGACAGTTATTTAAAAATTCCAAATTTTTCATGGTTTTCCTAAGTATGGGGTCTGGCAATAAAAAATAATCTGGCATTCCTCTTGTGGAATTCAGGCAGCCACAGAAGCCCATATAAATCTAATTTCCATGGTTCTTGTAATTTTCATAGCCATTTGTAGCATGGAAACTGTGTGTTTGCTATTGAATTAGGACTATAAATATCATGTAATCCATACTCTATAAATATGTAATAATTCTGAAATGACCATGTGACTTTCATTGTTGCAAATATAATCAGGGTTATGAATTCTCACTGTATTGAAGAATCAATAATTTTAGAGGCTTGAGGTCATATGGGGCAAAGGTAGTAATTTCTCTGCACCCTTCCCTGAGAACCAGCCCACACACTTTTTAAAGTAGAGTAGGAAAATAGAAGAATGTGACCAAGTGTCACTTTCATTAAAAACTTTAGCTTGTTCCTATTTCTCCACATCCTCTCCAGCACACTGTTGGTGGGACTGTAAACTAGTTCAACCATTGTGGAAGTCAGTGTGGCGATTCCTCAGGGATCTAGAACTAAAAATACCATTTGACCCAGCCATCCCATTACTGGGTATATACCCAAAGGACTATAAATCATGCTGCTATAAAGACACATGCACACGTATGATTATTGCAGCATTATTCACAATAGCAAAGACTTGGAACCAACCCAAATGTCCAACAATGATAGACTGCATTAAGAAAATGTGGCACATATACACCATGGAATACTATGCAGCCATAAAAAATGATGAGTTCATGTCCTTTGTAGGGACATGGATGAAATTGGAAATCATCATTCTCAGTAAACTATCGCAAGAACAAAAAACCAAACACCGCATATTCTCACTCATAGGTGGGAATTGAACAATGAGATCAATTGGACACAGGAAGGGGAACATCACACTCTGGGGACTGTTGTGGGGTGGGGGGAGTGGGGAGGGATAGCATTGGGAGATATACCTAATGCTAGATGACGAGTTAGTGGGTGCAGCGCACCAGCATGGCACATGTATACATACGTAACTAACCTGCACAATGTGCACATATACCCTAAAACTTAGAGTATAAAAAAAAAAAAAAAACTTTAGATTGTATTTCTATCGACACCAAAATGTTTTAACTAGTGGACAGAGAAGTGTTTCTGGAATGGAAACTAGAGCAAAAATTCCAAAATCCCGCCCCTTGTCAAACCCCAGAACTTCCTTGCTGCTCAATACCATTTAAAATTTGCCCAGCAAACTTTTTACACATAATGCAAGCACTGACTTACTATGTTAGCAAGTATCACTCCCAGAGATGAATCAGGACTTTATATCAGGGCACCTGCAACATCTCTGAAGAAAATGGATGAGATAGAGACAGGATGAGAATCCCTGCTCCTATTCACAAATGCTGGGACTCATACAAAGATCTATGCCAATGGGAAAACCCGTGTATAAACATTGATGCTTCACATTAAGCAAAGAAAGCTTCAACTCTTCTTATGAGAGAAATTGTATTTTGCCCCCCTTATTATATCTCTCATTATATCTCCTTATCATATCTCCCCTTATTACATCTCCCCTTATTATGTTTCCATTCTAGCTCAGAAATTTAGATACTATTTGTAAAGCCAAAAAAGGCACAAATATTTCTAAACCTTCATATAGAATCTTAATACTTTAATTCTGGAAGAGACCTTGAGCATTGACTAACAGACCAGCAGAAGCCCGTAGGTGAAGCCTACATTAGGAAAGGGGAGAGCAGGAAAAATATTCTAACAACAGCCTGACTATTCCAAGCCTATAATCCAGAACTGTCTAAATAAGGATCTGCAGAGCATTTAGCCAAGGAAACAGAACCAATAGGCAGCACAAACCATGTCTACGGTGACTTAAGTGATTTTTAGCCTGGAATTTTCCTCAAGTGATTGTTTAAAAAGCCTAAAATGAAAAAGGTTTCGCTTTCAGAAAAGCAGGATGTGAAGATACTGGGGACTATAACTATTTCATCTCCAGATATAAGCCAATCCTAGAATTTTCTAAGAAAAAGTTAGCTGAAGTCTCAGGTTCAGGATAAACGGTCTCTAGGCCTGAAAAGTAAGCATTGGTTGGAATGTGAATGGTTGAAGAGCCCATGAGGTTTTTTTTTTTGACAGCAAATGCCCATTTCTTGTAATTTTCTAGGATTCCTTATAAAGGAGTCAATGGTGTTTCTTCCTTAATATAGCTCAGGAATTTTATTAATAACAATCTCACTTTAACACCCTCTCAAATTTCTCAATTTTATTATTCACAAATTCTTCTAACCCCAGAGATTTTGACATAGCTGGAAGGGTTACAGTCTTATACTACAAGTTACATAAAGTTATGAAATTAATAACAGTTCTTTATTATCCCTCTTCAGAACTAAAATAACATTTAGAATTTTTTATCTGACTGCGAGCTTCAGAAGAGGCAAAGGGAAAGGACAGCTCCTACCCAGAGAAATATCAGGGACCCCTAACATAATCTAACTCTCAAAATAAGGAAATACTAAGATTAAGTATTTTGCCCAAGGTCACAGTGCTAGTTAGTAACATAACAAGACGTAGTAACCAGTCTTTCTAAAGTGAAAGCCTCTCTCCTCAAACAAAGCATCTAAAAGCTATTAGATCTATGGTTCAATGATCAATCTCCAAGTTAAAATCCTGCAGATATATACATATGCATAAGAAACTAACCAGATGATCTTCTTACTTTGCCCCACTGCTCATAAAGCTGTGAAAGACAAGGTCAGAGTTCTCTTCACCATAGGCTGAAGCACAGTAATTTGCTGCCTGCTAATATTTATCTTCCATCTCATAACTCATCTAAGGAGATAATAAAACCATGATTCATCCAGGTTTTCAGATTTCCTAAAAATTAGTTTCTGTAGAATATTCCACGTATCTTCATTTAATTCACTATCAACTTACTTTGCTGTGGTAACTTTGAAAGAAACTTTTCCTCCTTCCTCATTCACACACAGCCAACCCTGAGAACCCAGAATGTGAAAACGTGACTTTACAAGGCTGCTCCTGGAATGGGCTGTGTTTAATGAATTGAGTGTCGAAACTAATATGTATAGATAAAACATAAGCATACCTAAGTACATATCTCTGAGTCCTTACTCATTCCTCAAGGTCGATTTCAAATCAAAACTATTTCATGAAGTCTTTCTTAGCAAACCCAACCTTAGCTATTTCTCCCTGCCAGGACATCCTACAGTGCTGAGTTTAAGAACTGCATGTTCAGCACTTAACACACCCTGTATTTAGTTCAGGAACATCTCAAGTGTCCCCTTAACTCTACCACTTCTTACTTTGCTCTACTGCTCATAAGACAAGGTCTGCTGGTCCACTGGGCAACGGGGCAGCTGCAACCCACACACTGACCCTGAAAACACTCAGCTCCCTTTTGTTCTCCAAGTTTAAGTGTGGAGAGAGGAAGAGATTTTTTGATCTTATAGCTCAATCGAGATAACCTGGAATTTTCCAAGGCGTCTCACCAAAAGGAGACTAGAATATTCAAAAGCATCTCTGCTAACGGAAAAACAAAATTAAAAACAAAAAAGTAGCAAAATCAGAGAAACAGTCCTATTTACAGTGCACATTTTTTGCTCATAACATAAAGTGGGTTTAACCACAGACTGGTTTGGCTGGTTTCATTTCTGGGCATGCAGGCCCTCCATTCCTATCCTCACCAACCCCATCTACGCTAGATGCCACAAGCCTAATTTGGAGAATATTCACACTGGAGCTTTTGTGCTGGTCATCTTTGTGGGTACTAGGTTACCCTGATGCTTCTCTGAGTTCACACTGCCCTGTCTTTTATCTGGTCAGCTACCTCAGCGTAAAAACCCAAGTTGTAACTTTCTGTGCCTTGAGAAAAAACCTTTACCCTTTGGCAAGTCGCCATGCCTCTGGTCATTCCCCACCAACCTTCCTTCCAGAATTCAAACATATTCACGTACTAGATTCTCAGGGAAATTAAACAGAAAATATTGTAAGCTTTCTCCAGGCCCTCCCAGATTCTTGAAGCTCATTTTCAGAGCCCATATTTGAGAATCCAGTGACCTCGCAGACTAAGACGGGAAGCCCCCCTTCCCAGAGGTATTTTTCCTTATGTGATTCTTTGCCTGCTCTTCCTTTTCCCCATTCTGTTTTTCACCCAACAATAACAGGGGCATATTTCCACCTTCCCCCTTCCATAAACCACCCACCCTGACTTGGCACTTTCATTGAGTTCCCCTCTGGAAAGAATACTCTTAATTTTCTGTTAATTTGTAGAGCAGTTAAGATTGGCATCCTCTCTAGCCCTTTTCAGAAGAGGCTGACAATTCTTCCTGCTCTCTCAAACCCTCCGAGTTGCCTCCTCTCAAGGCTTTGCAAGATTCTACATGTTACAGTTATGCAGTGTTAAAAATGCACTTATAATTCTAAACAGACACGCGCATCCAGTAAAAAACGATCATTCTCTTATGTTTTCTATTGTTTTTTAGCCTTTAATAAAATCAAGTTATTTGAGTTATTAATTTTGGTCTCAGTGTATTTCCGTCTCCCTTCCATTCGTTTAAAGAAGGCAGCAGCCTCTGCGGTTCATTGCTTCAGGGGAGGCCGACCAAGAAGTAGCTTGAAAGTCTTTCTTATTTTGATATTTCAAAACCCAAAACCCAATGGAGAACTTAGAGAGCTTGCAAACATAAACAGAGTAGCTTTAAGGAAATGTCAAGGGAAAATGATTTGCCCCAGACTAAAGATATATCCTGGGAAAGAACAAAGAGGCAACGTCTGCAATTTTTCAGAGCACGCAGGTCCCTTTAGAATGCAGAAACATCCCAGGAACTCAGAGAGTGTTGCCTGTATGGTATACGTTGCAGATGGGCACAGGAAGTCTTGAAGACACTCTCCATGTCCCAAACCTGGCAAGGAAGCAGCAGACCATCACAGGATATGAGGAGGCCATCCAAGCTGGGACCCTGAATTTCCTAACGTTAGCTTATATATATACATAACTGGGTACCATAGTCTACCCTTGTTTGGCGTTACATGAGCCCCCAGAACTGTGTATGGCACAATTCTGGAGAAAGGCAGGGAAAAGCCCCAAAGTAACAAGATCACAGCTTTTACATGACATTAAGTTACTTTTTAGAAAACAAAAAACAATCCTTATTTTTCATACAGGTGAGTTTGTGGAATGGAATTTATACGTTCTCATTTATCTCTACACTCCATTTATCCAATTACTTTTATGATATTTGAAGACAAAGATCAATCTTGTATCACTAGAATCTTTAAAGGGCCTTGAATTTAATTAGCACTCAATGTTAATAAATTTTGTTGGATTAATATTACCAAATCATAAAATCTTTGAACTGGAAGCATGAGAAAATCAATTATTCCAATTTCTATTTCACAGATGAGGAAACTAAGCCCAGAGAGTTAAATTTTCCAGGTCCTACATAAAGCTTCAGGTTTGTTTTCCTTCCAGAGTAATGTTTATCTTCTAAAGATTGATGTTCATATTGTCATATCCTTCTTGAAGACTAGAACTCATTAACTGACACACCAATAAAGTCACTTAAATAAATAATGCATGTTTAAAATTGTTCTTCCAAATCCCACCCAAGCATTCAGCAACTTTTAGAAATACTAAGGACATTGGTTTGGATTATCTTTTGCACTTTCCACTCTCCTAAGGATGTTCCTTCCCTCTGGACTACTGATTGATAACCCTTTATATCTGCTTTTATCTCGAAGCCATCACCTCTACCCTCAGAAGAATATCAAAAGCATCACATTTGTTAGGTCTATTCCACTTGGGGAGGTCCCTGGGGAGCAGTAAAACTAGATTGAGAAAGTTCCCAGGCCTGGAGGGAGAAGATGCGGCTTTGCCAGATGATGCTAAATAAAAGCCTGAATTGTTATCTGAACGCCTTGATGGGAACCAAGTACAAAGATAGACCTATGTCAGTGTTAACTAGTATCATTTTGTCCTCAGAATGCCTGCTGCTTCCTTGCTGCTCTTTTGCATTTTCTTTTCTTCTCAATGTTGTACCCACCTTCATTTTAATCTGATTTAACATATAGGAAATATTTAAGGGGGTCAGAGAAAAAAGTAAGAACTCATGAATTTGGGGCTCTGTTCCTCATATTTTCCCCTTTCCTTGTCCTCTCTCCTCTTGGGTTTATGTCTAATGTGAGCAAGTCTCCCCAAACCTTGCAGTCTTCAAGAGTCATCTTTCATGTCTGGGCGCAGTGGCTCCGCCTGTAATCCCAACACTTTGGGAGGCCAAGGCAGGTAGATCTCTTGAAGACAGGAGTTCGAGACCAGTCTGGCCAGCATGATGAAACTCCATCTCTGCAAAAAATACCGAAAAAAGCCACACGTGATGGCACGCACCTGTAGTCCCAGCTACTCAGGAGGTTGAGGCAGGTGAATTGCTTGAACCCAGGAGACAGAGGTTGCAGTGAGCCAAGATCACGCCACTGCACTCCAGCCTGGGTGACACAGCGAGACTCCATCTCAAAAATTAAAAAAAAAAAAAGGGTCTTCTTTCCGTTTCATATCTATATAAATAACAAGAGCTCTCCTTTGTACACTGCAGTGGGATATCCACTATCTCTTCCTGAAACTTTTGATTCCAGCTCAGAATTTCGAGGCCGCGTTTAGGTCTCAGTCCCATCATCTTGCACACTGCAGCTTCTGTACACTCTACATAGCCCAAGTGAAGACAGAGCTCCAACTCCTCCTGCATCTCCCAGCACATCAGTGACTCAAGTTAATTATATCTTTTTTTTTTTTTTTTTGAGACGGAGTCTCGCCCTGTTGCCCAGGCTGGAGTACAGTGGCGCGATCTCGGCTCACTGCAAGCTCCACCTCCCGGGTTCACTCCATTCTCCTGCCTCAGCCTCCCGAGTAGCTGGGACTACAGGCGCCCGCCACCACACCCGGCTAATTTTTTGTATTTTTAGTAGAGACGAGGTTTCACCGTGTTAGCCAGGATGGTCTCGATCTCCTGACCTCGTGATCTGCCCACCTCGGCCTCCCAAAGTGCTGGGATTACAGGCATGAGCCACTGCGCCCGGCCGATTATATCTATTTTTAATAAAAGTGTAGGGAGATTATGACACAGGACAAAATGAGACAACTTTAAAAGGAATGTTTAGACATCATTTGTCTTTCAATGTTCCTTAGTTATCACTACTACAGGGAATTTCTTATCAGTCATCTGTCTTCTTTGGCCCCTGTCTAGTATTAGGGCCCACTCTCACATGCGTTGGGTCCCACTCTCACCTTCTGTTGCAATACCTGTCTCTGCTCTGCTCCCCGCTTCTAGACCCATTCAACCTATTACCCTGTCCAGATGCCCTATTAGAGTCCCCAACTTCTCCTACTTAATTGTACAGCATAATTTATCTCACATTTATGTTATTCTCAACTCCAGACTAAATTGTAAGGCCTACTTTTTTATAACCAAGAAGGCTTGTCAATGACATTCTTAAAAAAAAAGCCACATATCCCTAAGATTAATTATGACATTCCTATGAGCATGCATTTATTTTTATAATAGCCACTATTTTCTCCCAGTGTGAAAACGTTGAGCCTCTGTGTGTCTAAGAGAAACAAAACCATTCTAAGGCGATTTCCAAGTGAAAACACCTTTAATTCAAGCTTTACATTTCAGCTGAGGAATGAGCAAACCAATCTCCACTGTGGTCTAACTACAACTGTGCCTCCCAAATCAGCCTTGCATGGTGGACCACAGTATAAAGCAGATGCCTTAGATCATTCAAATAGCCAATATTTTGACTTAAAACTTTCCTTCATTTTAGAAGTTTTGAGGTAGCTTATCAGAAGTCTGGAACGAAATCTTTAAAATAAGGTGGCATCTCCTTGAGCCAAGGCCCACAGTGGCAGAATAGTGCACTGTGATTGGTATAAGTGAGGCAACACTAGCTCCTCTCTAAGAGGCAGGACTTTGGCATGAAGGACATCGCTGGATGGGAGGCAGGCAATTCCTATCAAGAAGTGGCCTAAAAAATGGTTGTGTGTGTTCAAAGGTGTCCATCATACCCAAGGACAGTTTCAGGCCTTTTCAGCTACCCACAACAATAATCCAAGGAAATCTTTGCCTCAATGATAGGCGGCCAACTCCCAGGCAACTTTAATGCCATAGTGAATGACCGCAGACGAGTGCGTTCTGAGTGTGTTTTCACCTCCAATACTTCTTGGTGCTAAGGAAATTATCTGCTGTTCAGCTCACCTCTTTTATGAATAGGCTCTAAAGTAACCGCATTGCAGGCACATAGAAACCAAATAAAGGAATATTTTGAGCAGCATCTTCAAATCAGTTAGCCCTAATGATGGCCTTTCAGTGCACATGCGCATTGACACTTGTGTCTCTTATCTTCCCTCAAGTTGTTGGTTAGTTTGTCTTCTCCCTCCTGGGCACAAGGCCTATCACAGAGTAAGACTGTGTTCACATCAACAGAATGGCCTACTGAATGGGACTTTATTCTTACCAGCAGAATAACCACTGGAAGTCAGTTTTCCTGAAACTTGTTTACATGTCAAGTGCATACTGTTTAGTTAAAGTATTTCAATACAGTAGTCTCCCCTGATTCACAGAGAATATGTTCCAAGACCCAAGTGGATGCCACAAACCACATATAGCACCAAAACCTATAAGTACTATAAAGTTTGAGGTATGACAGAAAAACAAGCATGTATTTCTTTTTTCTTCTCCACAGATAGATTTGTTCTTACCTTAGATCTTAGCAAGCCCAGCACACCATTATTTTTCTTTCTTTATTAAGTCAAGAACTTTCACCATGTTACTTAAAGGAAGCACTTTATGGCTTCTCTTTTGCATATCTGAATTGTTAAGATAATTACTCTTGCTTTTCGGAGCATTATTTAGTAAAATAAAGGTGATTTGAACACAAGCATTGTAATACCTCCACCTTAGTCGATCTGATAAGTAAGATGGCTCACAACAGGAGGGTGGACTATACAGTGTGGCAATGCTGGACAAAGGGAAGATTTGTTTTCTGGGCAGGATGAAGCAAGACAGTATGAAATTTTATCACATGCCACAGAATAACACACAATTTAAAATTTATGAATTTGTATTTCTGAAATTTTCTATTTAATATTTTCAGATCCTAGTTGACCACAGGTAACTGAGACTGCAGAGAGAGGATCTATGGATAAGGGAAGATTATTGTAATACGTTCTTCATAGAAAAGTTAATTTTAGTTTATTTAATTTTTCAAAAGCCTTATTCATCATGAAAGAAAGTTTTAATTCAAATGACTAAGTCAGCTATTCATTTTATTCTCTGTGATTTAAACTTATATCTAAATCAGTCATGAATATCTCCAAAATAGCCAGTGTTTGAAAGCAGACGGTTTTCTAAATTAAAAATTTCTTAGAACATCTTTTCTAATACCAAAGAAAGAGAGTATTTACTTTTTCTTTCTATTTTAAAAAAAAATCTATTCCTCCCAATAGCTAATGGTTGACAAGGCCAGGAATCAATTCTAGCATCTTTGCCATGTTATATTATCTTCCATCCATTCATTTGTTTATTCTGTGAAAGTTGTCAGATTCAAAATGGAGTCATGAATGCTAAGAAAACCCTGACAGATAAAGCCAGGAAAAGGGGGTTCTCACGTTTCTATGCCTCACAGCGAAAAAGACTATACAATAACCACAACCTTGCACAAAGGCCATCACAATCTTACACAAAAAATGCTTCTGCAAAAACTTCTGCCTAGCAACTGTCTGTCCAATCTGAGACTTAATTATTAATCTGTGTAGCCAAGAATAATTATTTCAAAACAGTTATGTAATCCTTCTCATTAAAAAATAAAAAAAAACCTTTTATCCCTGAGTATACACATAGTTCACTATGGCATACATATTTTCACTGCAATGCTCTATTCCCAAATAAATATATTTTAGCCTCTCTCTGTTTTTTATTTAGGTTGATAATCTATACCTTTGATATCTATTGAGATTTGACTACAAACAGGGTATAGCAAGGTAGTTGTTCCACTGTAACTGGGAAGAACAAGTTACTTTTGCCGTGATGGTCACAAGACTGCTTCTTCCAGGCTTCAAATGATCAATTCTCTGGTTCAAATATAAGCTTTAATGCATTAATTACAGTGATATAACTGGGGTTAGTTATTCAATCAGAGCCGTGGAAAACAAGAGAGTGAAGAAGGAAAAATATTGTTGCTTGTGTCAATCTTACTAAGTCAATAATTAAATTTATAAGCATCAAAATAACTTCCCAATATTTTCACTTCGTCTTCCACTGAAAACCTGAAAGGTTAACTTTTGGGTGGTTTTTTTTTTTTTATTTTTGCCTAGGCAAGTGGAAACAATCATGACAGCAAACTTACAAAGTAATGTATTTGTCACTGTGATTCATGGAACTCAGCATTTATGGAATACTGCTCTAGAGAGGACATAGGAACCAGAGACAGAAAGGACCCAGCATTGAAGTGATAAAAGCTAACATGTTAGCAGGTGATATTTTTATTGCTTCAGTTTGTGAAGTAAAATGACATTTTTTGAAACATATCAAAAACACAATATAAACACATGAGCAAGATTGCACAGCTTAACTAATCCATGTAATTTATAAGCTAGTACTCATTGTTTATGCACTGTGTGAAACATGATTTGGTGCTACTGTTGCTGGATGGCTTTACCCTAATCTGTAATTGCATTTAGACAAGGATTTGTGGTACAAGCATCATGGTTAAGTAAAGTTCTGCTTGAATTAATACTCAATACCTCAAGGTTGGATTGTTATAATAACCTCCTGATTGTCTTCCAGCCTCTCCACTACAACAATGCTCAGACCACTGCCTGACTAATCTAACTAAAACACTGCTTACTCTAAAGGATCCCCATTAAATGGCTCCCCAATGTCTAATAAATAAAGTAAGAAGTCTTTATTCTGGCATTTGAGGTTCTCCACAATATAGCACCGAACTCACTGTCTATTTGATATGCGAGGCCGCCACTCCAGCTGCACGGGGTTTCTCATGGTTCCCCATATAAACAACGCTGATTCCTTTCTCCATAATCTTGTTCATGCTGTGGTTCTCCAGATGTAACCATGCCAGGGGTTCCTGGAAAAACAGTTCCTCAATAAAACTTTCCCGATCTTTTCTTGCCATAGTGTTTTTTATCTCTGAATTTTTAGAGCAGTGTTTCTCAGTCTCAACATTATTGACATTTTGGTCCAGGTAATTTTGTGTTTGCAATTTTTTTGTGGGGGCTTTCCTGTGCCTTGCAGGATGGTTGGCAACATTCTTAGCCTCTACCCACTAGATATCAATGGGAGTCACCCCCAAATAGTGATCACCAAAAGTATCTGCAGATATGATTTTCAAATGTCTCCCAGGGAGGCAAAATTAACCCCAATTGTTCCAGAATCTTATCGTATGTATCACTCATATTCACATTTAAAAATATTTCATGTGTATGTCTTGCCTTCATGGCTAGATTATTTTGGTGCAAGTATTAGATCTTATTTTATTTTTGAAACTCCAATAAAGAGTAAAGCACCACATTGAATTCTTAAGAAATATTAAAATTTTAATTTAGTATCTAAAAATCAGAAGAAATATGAATTACATCATTTGATCTAATCTCAATTATTATAAGTGTAAATTAAGAACCATAAAAGTAAAGCTATTTGCCCAAAATAAATGTGTGTTGGTGGGATAGTTTTCTTCCCAGTCAGGTAGTATAAACACTCATCAACATTGTAATAAGAGAATTAGTTAACTTTGCATCAGCTGAGTAAACAGTAGCCTGTGGTTTTATTGAGGATTCTTTATATTACTTTGCTTTAATAATGCACATAAGTTTTAGTAATACTCTTATATTTTTACATTTAATTAAAAAATAATTCTGAAATACTGTGGTATAAGACAAGGGACCCTGATCTTAGAGTTAAGAGACTAAGGAGTTAGCACATACCACTGTGTGATCAGCAAGCCACTTAACTTCATGGTGTCTCTGCATCTCGTTTTTAAAATACTTATTCCACTAAAATAAATAAACTCCTTGACAGAGGAAATATTGTCTTGCAGCTACCACATCCCTAGAGTCTACCACAGAGTAGGGCATTTAACAAATATTTGCTGACTGACTGTTCAACTGGGAATAAAAGTGCCAATTTTCACTTATTTTGAGAATAAAATGTAATTTTTTACATCCTGAGAAGTGTAAAGTTTTAGACAAATGCAAGATATTTTTCTACCATAAAATGCTTAAAGAATTTAAATATTTAAAAATAGTGAAGTGGAAAGTTGAAATTAAAATTTGTGAGATGTCACCAAAGCAATAGTTAGGGGGAAATTTTCAGCATTAAATGCCTGTATTAGAAAAGATGATGAATAGTCTTGAATTGATGAATTTAGCTTCCACCTTAAGACCTATAAACAGAAGAACAAATTAAATCCAAAGTAAGGAGAAAGGAAATAATAATAGAGCAGAAGCCAATAAAATAATAAAGGAGAAAAATCAGTAGAGAAAAAATAATGAGGCCAGGCACGGTGGCTCACGCCTGTAATCCCAGCACTCTGGGAAGCCGAGGCAGGCAGATCACTTGAACCTAGGCCTCAAAACTAGCCTGGCCAATATGGCGAGACCCCATCTCTACTACAACTACAAAAATTAGCCAGGCGTGGTATAGCACGCCTGTAATCCCAGCTATTCGGGTGGCTGAGGCATGAGAATCACTTGAACCCGGGACCCGGAGGTTGCAGTGAGCCATGATTGCGAACGTGCCACTGCACTCCAGCCTGGGTGACAGACTTGGTCTGAAAAAAAAAAAAAGAAAGAAAGAAAGAAATCAAAAGCTGATTCTTTGATGTGATCAATAAAATTTTTATAACTCAGATAGACATATTGGGAGGGAAAAAGAGAAATACACAAACCAATATTAAGAATGAGACAGATGACATCACTACAGTTTCTACAGATATTAAAATGATAACGGGGGTTATTATAAATGAATTTCTGCCTATAAATTTGACAACTTAAATGAAATTGACAAATTCCTGAATTAATAAAAACTATCAAAGCTTAGTCAAAAAGAAATAGATAACCTGAATAACACTATGTCTATGACATACATTAGATAAGTAGTTAAAAATCCTCCCACAAAGACAATTTCAGGCCCACTGGCTGTACTGGTGATACCTATCAAACATCAAGGAAGCAATCATTCCAATTCTATACCAATTCTTTCAGGAAATTATAAAAGGGTGAATTCTTCCCAATTCTTACTGTGAAGCCAGTATCACTCTGATACTAAAACCAGGCAAATGCATTACAAGAAAAGAAAGCTACAAATCAATATCCCACATGAACACAAATACAAAATTTCTACACAAAATGCTAGCAAATAGATTGCAACAATACATAAAAAGGATAATACGTTATATCCAAGTGGGGTTTATCCCAGGAATGCAAGGCAGTTTTAATATTTGAAAACTAATCAACTTAATTCACCATGTTAACAAACTTAAAAAAGAAAATCCATATGATCAACTCTATAACACAAAAATAGCATTTTATATAATCCAATATCCATTCTTAACTAAAAGTGAAAAGACAACTCTTGGCAAACTCATAATAAAAGAGAATTTCTTCAGTTTGATAAAAGACATCCATGTTAAGCCGTAAGCTAACATCATACTTAATGGTGACACATGGAATGCTTTCCTCTTAAGATCGGGAACAAGACAAGAACATTCACTTCCACATTTCTATTCATTATTGTGCTGGATATTTTGACCAACGTAATTAGGCCAGATAAGGAAATAGCAGGTATCCAGGCTGAAAAAATACAAGTAAAATTTCTTTTATTAAAAAACAACCTAGATGTTTACGTAGAAAATCTGATGGAATCAACAAGAACTAGTAAATAAGTTAAGCAATGGTGCAGCATACATTGATGTGGAGAAATCAGTTGTATTTCTGTACACTAGAAATGAACAATAAAAAATTGAAATAAAAAATACCATTTATAATAGTCTCAGCAAATCTGATATACCTCGGGATAAATCCGACCCAAACAAAAGTTCAAGTCCTGTGTATTACAAATTTCAAAATATTGCCAAGAGAAATTAAAGATCTGAAATATCATGTTCATAGTTCAGATGGCTCAACAGTGTTAAGATGTTATTTATCTCCAATATCATCTATAAATACAATGCTCTCGGGGTACAAGAAAACTTTTGGAATTGATGGGTATGATTATTTTTTCACCGTAATGATCATTTCACAAGCATGTACATGTCAAAACTTATGAAATTGTGCACCTTAAATATGTACAGTTTGTTGGATATGAATTACACTTCGACAAAACTGTTACAAAATAAATGTTTTTCAAAAATGCCATTATGTATCAACAGTTTTAAATATATTTATGTATTTGACTCGGACTTTATATTTTTGGGATCTATTCCAGTACAACATGGCTGATGGAAGGCACATGTGCTTGTTCCTTTACCACATTTTACTAAAAGAACAGTTATACAATTTTAAATTTCATAAATAAAATTTAAAAAATTAATAGCATCAATATTTTTAATATCCTGAGACACAAAACTACAAAATGGTCATCAAAAATTTGATTAATGAATAAGTTGTTCTCCCATAATATAATACTATATATCCTTGAGAATAAACAATTGACAAACACAACCATATGGATTTATCTCAGAAACATAATATTAAAATTAACAAACCAAACACAGAGTATATATACTGTATGATTCCGTAATAAAGTGAGCCTATAGGCAAAACTATTAAAAACATTATTAACAAAGTAAATGAGGCTTTTTTTAAATGCCAATATAAATCAACAGTTTTAAATATATTCACGGTCTTGACCCAGACTTTCTATTTTGGGGATGTATTCCAGTAAAACATGGCTGATGAAAGACACATTTACTTTGTTCACTAACCATATTTTACTAAAAGAGCAGATATAAAGTGTCATAAGCATGGCAAGGGAGTGGTAACCCAAAGGAAAAGAAAATTGGAGAAAAGTCAACTAGAAAAATTTGGAAATGTAAGAATAGATTGATTTCCTACACCAGAAAGCGAGAAAGAGAAACCAAAGTCTGCAATGGATGTGGTCTCAGTTGCCAGCTGATTGACTTTACAGAACCCCAGGATATCCCAGGAACTGGAGGCACTGGATACCTCTCAAGGAAAGGAGGGAGGGTTTGCTGCACCCATCAGACCTCCCTATCCCCCATATGCAACTGGGTGACTGACTTTCTTCCGCCATAGAAGTCAAGAGATGTCTCCTCTGAAGAAGCTGAAACCTAGCCCCTGGGACTGTGGGTAGAGCTGAGGGTGGGCTACCACACGGAAACCTAGGTGCTTCAGTGAATGTCTACATATGAAGGGACGACTCCCAAATCACTTTGTTCTTGCACTGAGAACACTAAAAGCCAGACTAATACACCTCAGATAGAAGGCTGGAGAACTCCTCCCTCAGGAAACTATCTCAAAAGAAAAAATAAAATAAAAACCTTCTAATAATGAAATAGTTCAGTGAAACAGTACAGGCTGAGCGCACTGTAGACTAAATAAATTATCCTAGCACATTCACACCAGAGAAAGAATTTCTAATCAGCTTTTTACTACCTAACTTTCAAATAGTAGCAGACAGCAAGAAATCACCCAACATTAGAGAAAACTCTTTAACAAATGAAAGAAAAGAAAAAAATTGGAAACAAACAGAAAGCAGAAAAAACTTAAATAAACTATATTTAACATCCTCAGAGATCGAAGAGGCAATCGCTGAAACAGGAGAAAAACATTACAGAAAAAATAAAACCAAATTTTAAAAAATAAACTCTCATAAAAAAATAGGATATAATAAATGAAATAGTCAAATGCATTCATAAAGTTTCAGAGATCTCTCAGAAAATGTGGTGGGGGGAAATAAGACACAGGAGGTACATACACTAGAATATCAACATGGATGTATTAGTCTGTGCTCACGCTGCTAGTAAACACATACCCAAGACTGGTTAATTTCTAAAGGAAAAAGGTTTAATTGACTCACAGTTCAGGATGGCTGGAGGCACTCAGGAAACTTATAATTATAGCAGAAGGGGACACAAACACATCCTTCTTCACATGGCAGTAGCAAGAAGTGCAGAACGAGGTGGGGGGAAAGCCCCTTGTAAAACCATCAGTTCTTGTGAGAACTCACTCACTATCACAAGAACAGCATGGAGGTAACTGCCCCCATGATTCAATTACTTCGCACCAGGTCCTTCCCAAGACATGTGGGGATTATGGGAACTAGAGTTCAAGATGAGATTTGGGTGGGTACACAGCCAAACCATATCAATGGGGAATTCAATAAATAACAAGAGCTCTAGAAAGAGAAAATAAAAAATTGGAGAAAATGAGGTTCAAAAGGTAAGTCAATAAATTTTCCAGAATTAAGAGATTTCAGTTTCCACATTGAAAGGACCTCCACCTAGAGACCAAACCACGGGGTGAAAAAGAAGTCCAATACCAGGTCCTATAACTATGGACTCTCAGCATATGAGAGCATGGTATTGGATGAAGTATATTTTATTGATTTGACCAAGTATTTATAACATAAGGTATTACATTAGTTACCATCAGACATATGAAAACAAACTAAAGACCATCCCTATACACAAAGGTGAAAAAAAACTAATATGAGTAGGCAGAAATCTCGTTATCTATAATTATGGTAATAAGACTTCAGCCACTAACTCTTCTTCTTATACTGATTCCTTTCTTCACATTTCTTTTTAAACAAAAGCCACTTTGGAATGTCTTGGCATATGTATTCAGCATGTGCACTGGCTAAGGAAAGCAAGCCCTTTTGTCTTGTGAGTCTTCTTTACACACATACACACACTCATATACACATGTATGCACAAACTTACGCACACAAACATACACACATTCATATACACAAGTATGCACACAAACTTGTACACACATTCTCACACTCACACACTTACACACTCATTCTCACACTGAACACATAGTCATATATGCACATATAAACACATGCACACACAACTTGTACACACATCCTCACAATCACACATTTACATACACATTCTCTCATATATACACTCACATACACACTTATAGACACACACAAACCTGTACATACATACACTCACATATACTCATATCCACATAGATGCGCACAGACTCATACACACATTCTCACACTCACAGATGCATTTATCACATGTTCACCTGCAGACACACACACACACACACACACACACACACAGTCTTAGGTCTTAGGTCTTTAAAGAAAACTCGTTTTGGTTGTCAGGGAAGAAGGCTTAGATTCTTAGTTTTCCAGAATAGAAGAGGATCTGTTTTCCTGAGATTAGAAATGAGATCTATAATTTATACTCCTCTTATATTTTGCTGGACTTTCAATTGTTTATTTGGTATTTAAATAAGCCAATAGTTCCTGTTTGGTACCCTACCTCTTTAATGTCCTTTAATAGTTTGCAATTTTTCCCCAGTGCTTCTACTACCAGCTTTTCAGCAGCAACCAAAATCAATTCTTCCCCGCTCTGGGGCCAACAAGCTCCCCTCTGCCATCCCACTCCTCACTGTGAGAGCAATTCAATGCCCACAGCCATTTGCAGGTGCAAGAGATGCAGCTCCGAGCACCTCTGAAGTAGGACTTCACAACCTTTCTGTAACGGAAAATGGGTGGACTGAGATCTCAGCAGGCAGCTGCCTCTGGTTTCCTTTCCTGGCTGCAATCTGGTGGATGGGTGCTAGCCAGACTTAGGGGTTACTGCAAAACGGGCTGAAAGGAGTGTTTGAGAAGCCAGGAGTGCCAGCCACACAC
Organism: Homo sapiens; assembly: GCF_000001405.40. Classification (NCBI taxonomy): domain Eukaryota; kingdom Metazoa; phylum Chordata; class Mammalia; order Primates; family Hominidae; genus Homo; species Homo sapiens. Next base: position 88,268,481 of record NC_000003.12, on the reverse strand, counting down.
ATGGAATGCTTTACCTAGAGTGAACACACATCGTGTTCTTGCTGTACTGCATCTTTCTTTGCAATCCAACTTTTCTCTATATAAAAGGAGTGGGGAGAGGAGGCAGTATCTTTTTATTGTTGTTGTTGTTCCTTGGACAGTGGACTATTTTTGTTTTTATTTTTAAACATCAATCAGACATTTACCAAGATAGCATGTGGAATGGACTTGAAGCTTGTACAGCCTTCGGTCTATTTCCACAGACATGACCTCTGCATTATAGATAATGCCAAGCTACTTCTCCAGCCCATGAGAATGTTTCAGATATCTTCCACGTTTATGACTACTTTAGACAATCTAAATTTTACCCCTAGGCACTTGTGAAAAGGCACAGCTGTTACCCAGTAAGGTTAACAGAAGAGCCTATCTGTTCTTAGAGAGAGCAGGCCCCTGGCAGCTTGTCACAGTGTTTACCTGTAAGGCAGCTGTGTGTTGTGAAAAGAGGCCCTCACTCGGGCACGAGCAAAGCTATGTTCTGCCCTGATGCAGAACTTGCTTACTGATGATAAGCCTCAGTTTCCTCAGATGCATTTTCCTACCAACAAGAAAGAGAATTGCACTTTACTGACCTCTAAGATTTGGATCCATCTTAAAATTCAGGGATTCTGCATTCTGAACATACTATATCCCCTGAATCCTCAGCCAACAAGAGCAGGTTTTGGTTTTTTAAAAAGAATAAATATTGTATTTTAAGTGTCCATACAACGTATCCACATACGTAATTTCAAAAAATTGTAAATAATTTCAGCTGGATAAATTTAGAATGTTTTTATTAAAACCAGTTCAACAATACTCTCTGGCACTCTTCCCAGAACACTTCCATTTGATTGGGAATTGCTTAAATTTTAATCCGTTTTAAGTTCCTCTCTTTCTCAATTGTGCTCTTCTTAAAATGTCGCATTTGAAATATTCACTGCAATATCACTGACTCTTTTATTAAATCATGTATCTCAGCAGTGATACTGCTAGCCGTTGGATGTTTTGGGGGCCACATGTAGTGTGTGGTGTGGCGGGGAAAATGCATGGATGATTATGGTTGTATTTCTGTGGATTTCCCTTTTCTCTCAAGAGCACCTGCCGGAGGCCTACATCTCCCCCATATCAGCATTAATACTATTTACTACTCTGGTCTTACTACTCTTATCTTTCCCTTTCTCCTTTAAAACATTTAAGATAATACAAAACTATCTTCCTAAACATGTGTGCCAACATGGGCAAACTCAGAAAAATAAACAAAAAACAAATTGTACATATTCCCTAAGTCAAACAAGCTTCTTTTCTGTAAGTTCATCATCACACTGCTTTTCCTTTCCTGACTAGGGCTGCACTGCTTTCCCATTTTTTTTTTTTTTTCTTTTTTTTTGAGACGGAGTCTCGCTCTCTCGCCCAGACTGGAGTGCAGTGGCGCGACCTCGGCTCACTGCAAGCTCCGCCTCCCGGGTTCACGCCATTCTCCCGCCTCAACCTCCGGAGCAGCTGGGACTACGGGCGCCAGCCACCACGCCCGGCTAATTTTTTGTATTTTTTAGTAGAGACGGGGTTTAACCGTGTTAGCCAGGATGGTCTCTATCTCCTGACCTTCTGATCTGCCCGCCTCGGCCTCCCAAAGTGCTGGGATTACAGGCGTGAGCCACCGCGCCCGACAACTATTCCCAATTTTTTATGCGGGCTGGATCCCAAACTTCACTGGCCTTGCAAAGAGAAAATGGAAAAGGCGATAGCTAAGAGTAGGAGAGGGGCTTCTGGCAGGACCCTCAAGGAGGACCAAGCCTTGTCTCCCACCCAGAGCCCTCCTGAGCCTGACATCAAGTTTTCACCACTCAATACAATGACCAGCTACACATTTTCTTAACAACTTTCCCTCCACCCACTCCTTTATTGACTCAAATACTGCTAGAGACCCTGAGATTTACCCTTTTCTAATAAGACCTACCACACCTTAAGCAACAACTATGTACAAAGCATACAAGTTACCCACTTCATATAAACTCTATCACTTAATTCTTACACAGTCTTATAAGCTAGGTTAGGCATTATCTTGTTTGTTTTAAAACTAGGGGAACTGAGGCACCGGGAGGTTAAATAACTTGCTTAATATCCATGGGCGATAAGAAGTTCAGCCTAGATGTGCACCCACGTCTACTTCATTTTACTGTTTAAAACATATGAACATTTAAAACTAATAACAACCAGAAGGTAGTATTGGATGAGCACAAAAGTAAAGCCTATAGTAGGGTTTGATTACAACTACAGCATCTGTTCTTTTGTACAGGAAAGACTAAGCAATGACTTCCATGAAGCTTTCAGCCATAACCACCAGCCCAAACTTTATTGGCCTAAATATAGCTTTTTTCACACAAAAAGAAGTGGAGAGAAGTGCTGCCCAATAGAAATATAATGTGAGAAACAAGCACAGGCCATATATAGAAAACATTCTAGCAGACACATTTAAAAAAAGTAAAGGAAACAGATAAAATTAGTTTTAATAATACCTTTTATTTAACCTAATATATCCAAATATGATCATTTCAACATGCAATCGATATTAAAATTATTAAGGTAATTTTCTTCCTTTTTTTCATACTAAGGCTTTAAAATTCAGTGCACATTTTACACCTGCAGCCCATCCCCATTCAGACTAGCTGGACTTGAAGGGCTCATTAGCCAGCTGGAGCTAGTGACTACCATATTGGGGCACACAGGTACAGGGAATTGGCTGCTGGGGTTGGATTCCTAGTACTCTGGATCTTTTCCTCATATTTACTACCACAGGTTCACAAAATAGCTTCCAAAGTACCAAACATTATATCAGTATCAACAAAAAGAACAAGGAAGGTGTGCCACCAGTAAAATCTTTCCCAGAATACCTGTACTTGCATCTGTGAACTGTGTCCCATAGTGACTCTTGATCATAGGGGAAGCTAGGAAAGTGAGAATTAAGATTTTTTCTGATTCCTTTTTTTTTTTTTTTTAAGGGAGTTTCACTTTTGTTGCCCAAGCTGGAGTACAGTGGTGCAATCTCGGCTCGTTGCAACCCCTGCCTCCTGGGTTCAAGCGATTCTCCTGCCCCAGCCTCCCAAGTAGCTGGGATTTCAGGTGTCTTCCACCACGCCCAGCTAATTTTTTGTATTTTTAGTAGAGACAGGGTCTCACTACGTTGGCCAGGCTGGCCTCGAACTCCTGACCTCAGGTGATCCACCCATCTCAGCCTCCCAAAGTGCTGGGATTACAGGCGTGAACCACCATGCCTGGCCTGATTTTTCTGATTTCTAATGGATGCATAAGAAAGGGGTTGGAGATAGAAATGTATTTGCCAACCAAGATTGCCACGGACATTGGTTTTCAAACATATATATATATTTAAAACTAACAAAAATTTCCAGAATCATGAAAATGTGCTCTCCTTCATTTTACAATATTTACATAGCATTAAGTAAATAATAAATATATATTTCTTTCAGAATATACCTGTCTATCTCACTTAAGCCATTTTACCGCTAACATATTTGAAAGAAGAGATAGCAACGAAGCATGAGGAATGGAGCATGTGGGGGGTAAAATGGTTCTCAGGAGACGAGGATACCAATCTAACCTCCCCACAGATCTTTCCACGGTGAGCCCTCTTTGTGCGTATACAAGTGAACATATTGGACACCAAATATAACACTATTTACACAAATTCTTATTGAGCAAATCAGTGTTCATTTTAATACATCAAAAAGTAAATATATGCTTCTCTAACAGATTATAATTTTTCCTAGTCAATGCTTTCTAAAACTAAATTATAGCAACAAATAAATCTAAACTAACGCAATCTTATTATCAACAAAATTTCATGGTTGCCTTAATGGAAAGAAAAATGAACTTTGATTTCAGAAATAATAAGTCATATATATCTTTTACATCATAGTTGTGGGAATTTGGTTAGCAAAAAAATGGAAATAAATTATCCAATAATTTATACTGTAGGTAGTATGAATCTCTTCATAAGATTGTACGGGTACTAAATATTATGGTAAAATTGAGCATTTTATTCTAAAGTATTTCTATCTGTTTTCTCTTCTCTCAACAATCCTAAAAACATTTTCAGTTATCTTAAACCATGATATGACATGACACAGATAGTAGAAAACTAATCTATCAGGAAATTATTCAATATAATGTAAATTAAAACTAGCATTTATATTTATTGTTTTAAATACGTACACATACATGTATATGCAGGCATTCATGTAACTGATTCTGTAATTATTCATTCAGCCCGCTAGGTCATCTAATGGGATGGTATGGAGCTGAGTTGTCATGAACTAGAATATTGAGCATACTGAATAAGCTTACAATTATAAGCATAAAATTTTGCAGATAAAAATATAAATGAATTTAAACCATCGGAGAAATTAGGTCAATAACACAGTGTTTAACTGTAATCTCCTGAGATTTGCATTTTGAAATCCAGGGATTGTGCATGTGAAAGAATAATCCCATTATAACTTTACGACACTGTAGCAATTGAGATGAACGCTGTACCACATTACAGGAAGGACACACAGTGACCTCACTACAACTAAGCCCCAGTGTTGAGAGATTACAATTGCTGGTTAAAACATTAAAAACCAAATAAAAGAAGAGTCTGTGCAACCTAGTATTACCGCTAATACCATTAATATCACTTGAAATCCTCTTTTCTTTTCAAATGCTTGATGAGGTGTCAAATGGTTGCATACCCACTATATGCAAATGGGTGCCTGACTTCTATATTCTGTGACACAGGGTAATAATAGTGCATACTATAAATCAGTTGGTGACGTAAACTCAGCCTGTGAATTGCCAATGGATCATACTTTCCCATCATTATGGTGTTGTGTAAATGTGCACTCAGAGCTGTTAACACTACTCCAGGCTTTGACTCACACCACCGTGCCGGGTGCTGATGACCAGCTGCATGAACATTGCCATTGCCATGCATTCCTTGGAGACTTAAAACGACCCTTGTGTCACTTGAAAATGATATAAGATTGCTGTGTTCTATTTGTGAATACTGTAATATTAATGTTTATTTCAAAATTTAAGAGGTAAAATGAGAATAATATTTTATTCTAATTACTAAAAAAGAATGAGGAAATGAATGTTAAATTTAAATTACTATGACTTCACCTCTAACCCTTCTCCTTGATCTACACTCACACACAAAAGTCCTTTGTTGTTGCAGACTTTAATAAAAATCTTGGAGAGAGGAAGAAGTTATACTTGAAAGCAGCAAAAAAAAATTTAAATTCAATGTTAGAGCCTAAGAACACTTCACACACCCCATCAGGTGGCTCAGCCCTCCTTTTTACTGTCTACTCTGTCTACTCTTTCCTCTTCCCCTTCCTCCTTTTCCCTGTGCCCACCCTTTCAGAAGAAAAAACAAATTCTGTCTTTTTACAGAGTAATTCAGACATCGGCAACCCCTGAACTCAATTCAACAAAGCAATGTCCACCGTATATCTGAAGTTATATTAATGTGTTCTGCTCTCTTTTACTTCCTATGAATATTTGCAGGAATAAACAAAAAGTATAGTGATTTTATGTCCCCATTGATACAACACCACCTTTTAAAAAGCAGATATTTTTCTTTTGAGGCAGTGTCTCACTTTGTCACCAAGGCTAGAGTGCAGTAGTGCAAACACAGCTCACTGCAGCCTCAACCTCCCAGGCTCAAGCGAGCCTTCCACTTCAGCCTCCTGAGAAGCTGGGACCACAGGCACATGCCACCATGCCTGGCTAACTCTTGTATTTTTTGTAGAGTCGGGGTTTCACTATGTTGCCCAGGCTAGTCTCAAACTCCTGGGCTCAGGCAACCCACCCACCGCAGCCTCCCAAAGTGCTGGGATTACAGGCGGGAGGCACCATGCCTGGCCCTAAAAAGCAGAATATTTTTAAATAATCAATTTTTCTATTATAAGTAAATCAAGTGTTTAAATAAACAACTTAAAATCTAATTGCTTGTAATTTAGACTTGTGTTCATTTAAAGCATATATTGGTTTAAAATGTAAATCAATAATTGTATCACTTAAAAACAAATCTAAACAAATATAAAAGATAAATTATAATGCCTAGAATATGAGAAATTTCTAAAATTAAAATGAGAATAAGGAAACTAATTTTTCTATTATAATCTTCAGAAGACAGTTTACTCAATTTTTTTCCTATAAGTGAGGTATCACGATGAAATAACACGGGGTAACAACTGAGAATGGTGATCTATGGACACTACAAAATCTAAACTGTGTATGACAACTTAAAAGTCCACATGGAGTTTATTATTTTGATTATATAGAAGTAGATAATTTTAGAACTAGCCATACAAGCCTAAACGCTGATAGAATTGTAAATAAATATTTAATATATACTTATTATATATTTAATAAATAATATATATTATATATTTATTAAATATATATTTATATATTTAATAAATAATATATATTATATATTTAATAAATAATATATATTATATATTTAATAAATATATATTTATATATTTAATAAATAATATATATTATACATTTAATAAATATATATTTATATATTTAATAAATAATATATATTATATATTTAATAAATATATATTTATATATTCAATAAATAATATATATTATATATTTATTAAATAATATATATTATATATTTAATAAATATATATTTATATATTTAATAAATAATATATATTATATATTTAATAAATATATATTTATATATTTAATAAATAATATATATTATATATTTAACAAATATATATTTATATATTTAATAAATAAATATTTAGCCAAAAAACATGTCCCTATTAATTTCTAGCTTCTGTCCGTAAATGCCTTGTGCTTTCTGATTCAAGACATATCCAGAGGTTTCACCTTGTGTTACAAGAGAAATAAAAATAAATCTCCTAATAGAATTCCACTTCTGATTTCTAAGATTCTGAGAACCAAAGAAATCACTTGCAAAATAAGTTATTTTGAGATAGGTGGTGCTTAATGTAACAATTGTCAATTAGTCACCGTTCTGCAAGGACACAGAAAACATAAGTAATATTATTTTACTTTAAACATTCATACCTCTGGTTAACAGAAGGAAATATTGGAATGGAGAGAGGAAGAAAACATATATAATATTTGATGTTCTACAACAAATAAGATCCATTACATACAAAAATTACTATTTATAAAAGTGGCTAAATCTTATTTTTAAATATTTTGAATAAGCATTGCACGTACCAGAAGACAATAAGTTATCTTGTGATTTAAGAAATCATAAGATCATTATCAACTAATAGCTCGGCAAAAGTTTAAAAAACTACCTAAAGTGGAAATTATTCCAGTAGTCTAATAATAATTATTGAAATCTTTTGAAAGAAAGGCCTAAAACCATAAAAGCCCTAGAAGAAAACCTAGGCAATACCATTCAGGACAGAGGCATGGGCAAGGACTTCATGTCTAAAACACCAAAAGCAATGGCAACAAAAGCCAAAATTGACAAATGAGATCTAATTAAACTCAAGAGCTTCTGCGCAGCAAAAGAAACTAACATCGGAGTGAACAGGCAACCTACAAAATGGGAGAAAATTTTTGCAATCTACTCATCTGACAAAGGGCTAATATCCAGAACCTACAAAGAACTCAAACAAATTTACAAGAAAAAAACAACCCCATCAAAAAGTGGACAAAGGACATGAACAGACACTTCTCAAAAGAAGACATTTATGCAGCCAAAAGACACAGGAAAAAATGCTCATCATCACTGGCCATCAGAGAAATGCAAATCAAAACCACAATGAGATACCATCTCACACCAGTTAGAATGATGATCATTAAAAAGTCAGGAAACAACAGGTGCTAGAGAGGATGTGGAGAAATAGGAACACTGTTACACTGTTGGTGGGACTGTAAACTAGTTCAACCATTGTGGAAGACAATGTGGCAATTCTTCAAGGATCTAGAACTAGAAATACCATTTGACTCAGCCATCCCATTACTGGGTATATACCCAAAGGATTATAAATCATGCTGCTATAAAGGCACATGCACATGTATGTTTATTGCGGCACTATTCACAATAGCAAAGACTTGGAACCAACCCAAATGTCCATCAATGATAGACTGGATTAAGAAAATGTGTCACATATACACCATGGAATACTATGCAGCCATAAAAAAGGATGAGTTCATGTCCTTTGTAGCAACATGGATTAAGCTGGAAGCCATCATTCTCAGCAAATTATTGCAAGGACAGAAAACCAAACACCGCATGTTCTCACTCATAGGTGTGAATTGAACAATGAGAACACTTGGACACAGGAAGAGGAACATCACACACCGGGGCCTGTCATGGGGTTGGGGGAGGGGGGAGGGATAGCATTAGGAGATATACCTAATGTAAATGATGAGTTAATGGGTGCAGTACACCAACGTGACACATGTATACATATGTAACAAACCTGCACATTGTGCACATGTACCCTAGAACTTAAAGTATAATTTAAGAAATAAAATAAAATAAAAGTAAAGGTTTGACAAAAAAAAAGAAGCTGAGAGATGCCAAACCACCTAAGTACATCAAACTCTAATATGTGCTATTATAAAAGCCTATGTAGCAACCCATAAAAGCAATTATCCATGTATTACATGACATTTAACAAGGCTATCAATAAAATCTTCCATATTTCCTTACACTGGATTGTCTATGTTTGAAACTTGGGTTTTACATTTGATTTTGTGACTTGAAAGAGAGTAAACTAAAATGTATCTACCAACTAATGAAATTGAAAGCACAAACTCAAGCATTAAAAATGTCATGAAGTAAATTTCATAAATAATGAAGTAAATGTGTGTTCTTTACTAAATGTTGGTGAATAAATTTAGCACTTACTCTGTTACAGGCAAATACATGCAATTTTATACAGTTTTTAAAGTAGTCCTATATGTTAATTACCCTTGTATTTCCTTTGCAGAGGAGAATACTGAGGCTCAAAAAGTTTAAGTAACTTTTCCACGTTCATGTAGCAAACTAAAGTGGCAAGTCAGGTGGCTAACTCCAGCATTTATGTTCTTAGTCACGCCGCTAGAATTCCTCACATAGGATTTTGAGAAATAGAAGCTTTAAATAGCTGTTGGAAAGATAACACTTTCTGAATATGTACATGTAAGAGCCAGCAGTTCAAGTTCCCAGTAACTTTATGTTACCAAGAGAAATGCATGAATTAAAAAACTAGATCTGTCAGATATCCTTGATTCTACAATATCTATTTTTAAGCTCCAGCATTTTTTGAAATTGAATTTGGTCTTGCAATCAAAGAAAGCTTCTCATTTCCAGGCAGAGCATTTCCTAAGCATTTGAGAACTTAAGAAATATAAAAGGCGTCTAATTCATCTGATTATTATGGTAGTAGCACAACACATGGTTACATTTTAACTAAAATTTGCATGACTAATTATGAGGTAAAATAATCTCTAGAATATTTCATTTTCATTAAAATGCAGCAATGAAACAAAAATAGCCTCAGTTTTCTCACCTATAAAAAGATTATAGGACGGTTTTTATAAATTTCTTGTGAAGATTAAATATAGAGACTGAGATCTGTGCTGGGTACATAACAGGCACTGAAGAAATGATTGCTGTTTTATGACACTGCAAAATATGAGAAAGAGGAGGTGGATACCGACAAGCACGGAAAACAGTAGCAAGATGTAAACTTATGAAAGATAAAGAAGCATATTTCAACAGAAAAATAATCTGCTTAATTTCTTGCACGGCAATCACCAAGGGCTTTATGAGACCCAGAAATGGATAATACTTTCCAGGAAATAAAATCGTTTCATATTGTCACTGAAACATATGCAGAAATGTCATTCCAACTCCTGTGGCTTAAAACACGAGTCACATTTCACCCAACCCAAAGATCTCTCACTTACTGTCTTCTCTAATAAGCGTGGGAATGCCTGTATCAAAATATCTCATACACTCCAGAAATATATACACCTACTATGTAGCCCCAAAAATTAAAAATTAAATTTTTTTAAAAAAGAACATGGATGGGAGGCTGAGGCTAGTGGACCACTTGAGCCCAGGAGTTCAGAACCAGCCTGGGCAGTATGGTGAAACCCTGTCTTTACAAAAAATACAAAAAAGCTAGCCTGACGTGGCATAAGCCTGTAGTCCCAGCTACTCAGGAGGCTGAGGTGGGAGGATCGATTGAGCCTGGGAGGTCAGGCTGCAGTGATCGGTGATCATGCCACTACACTCCAGCTTGAGTGACAGAGCAAGACCCTGTCTCAAAAAATAAAAAATAAAAAAAAGCATGGTAGCTGCACCATTCCACAAAACCCTGGGCTTGTTGCAATTGTACCAGGTTGAATAGCACCCCTTAAAATTAATGCCCATCTCACAATATGACCTTACTTGGAAATAGGGTCTTTGTAGATATAATTAGTTAAATTAAGATGAGGCCATACTGGATTAGGATGGACTCTAAATCCAATGACTGGTGTCATTCTAAAAAGAGGAGAGGACACACAGAGGCACAGGAAAGAAGGACATGTGAAGACAGAGACAGATTGGAAAGACGCAGCTCCAAGCCGAGGAGCACCGAGGATAGCCGAGGCCACCAGAAGCCAGAAAGGGGCAAGGAAGGGCTCTTCCCTAGACGCCACAGAGGGAGTGCATCTTGATTTCAGACTTCTCTCCTCCACAACTATGAGACAATACATTTCTGTTGTTTTAAGCAACCAAGTTGGTGGTATTTGTTACAGCTGCCATAGGAAACTTACACCACCTCTGTATACTCACTCCCATTGGTGCCCTCCTAAACCCTGTCTTCTAGCCCAGTGAATTCCTCCAACTCCTCTCAACGCAAATCTCTCTGACTCTCCCTGATCTCATTAACCGTCTCTTAATTGAAGTTTATTAAATCTTTCTCTCACAATTTAGCAACAGGTTGTAAGCTCTTCAAGGGCAGAGCCATGTCCAATATTTGTATACCCCACAATGTCAAGCACTCAGCAGATGCTCAACAAAAGTGCCTACATGATTAAGTCCAGGGCACAGGCTCTGGATAACGATAAGAGCACAAGCTCTGGATCATATCTTGGCTCTGCCCATTGTGACTCTATAATGTGTAGCCTCTTCTGTCCTCTTTGTGCCTTACTTGCCTCATGTGTAAAATTGAGGTAATGGCAGTATTTATATGCTTGCTCTAAGAGATTGAGTAAATACTGTAAGGCACCTAAAACAGTTCCTAGCATATAGTAAGTGACAGAATAATACTAGATGCTATTATTTTTATTATTATATGTGTTACTATATTCAGAAGAAAATACATATTAAAATATACCTATTTCAGAATGGATCAGACAGATGGATAGAAAGGAGTCATAAATGCATGAAACAAAAAGAATTAGTCAGGTGTTTTGCTCTCAGAAAATATCAATATTTTTCTATGATAATCAGAAAGGTCATTTTTTTGAAGGCACCATCTAAACTTTTTTTTCTAAATGTAACCCTGTTCTTCTCAGGAGTTATTAGCCAAAATTCCATGTTTCTTCATATGGGTTATTCATGCCAGAATCCAGTGTCTTCACTCGGAATTTTTCTCTCTGTGATATCTTCCTCTCTTCTCAGGCAAATCCTAGTATTTCTTTCAAATCTAAACTTCCACCTGCAGTATGATTGCTTTCCCAGTTACTCAAGCCCACTCTAATCCTTTCTTCCTTGAAGATTTCTAATATACCATAACACATAACTCAGCAGGCAGTCAAATACTGAGAGTTTATAATTTTTCATGTGCAGATATTTTTCTCTAAGACTGAAAGTTTAAGAAGAGAATCATTACTTCACAAATAAACAAAATATTCACTGCAAAGCCCATTTTCTTGATTACACTTACATATTTAAAACTGTATTTCTCATGTAGTTGTAAAAATTTTTAATACAGGTGAAATGTTTCACTCATTATAGTACTTCCCCCAGGTTATTTAAGTAAGCTTTACTTAAAAAAAAATGAGGAGCAGATAATTTACTTCCTGCATCTGGCGCAAATGAAAATTCTGTTTTATAATATATACTGTGTGATATTTTGCTATTTCATAGTTATGTTTACAACAAAGTAATGAGAAAAATGAAGTTGAGAGAGAAAGTACTTTTTTCTCAAATCTTTCTTTTTAGAAAGTTTCAGAGAAATTAAATTATTTGGGCTGAAGAAAGAAAGTCAGATGAATGAAATCAATAAAGTTAAACTTGTATTTTATGAAGACTTGAGCTTAAATTTCCCCAGAAAACAGCCAGGTAAGATGTAAGAAAGAATTTTATAAAGGTTTAAATTTATAAAACATGGGGTCAAAAGAGAAAGAGATAAGCGTTCCTCTTTTTTAAAACTATTGAAAAGAATAATAATCTATCTCAACAGATAGTTTGTGGTTCTGCCTAAAAGGCTAGATATGGGTAACATAGCCTATTCTGTAAGTCCTGAGATCAGCTTGAAATAAACATATATTAAACACATTTGGATTAAAGAAAAATATTATCTGTAATTTTATTCCTGCTGGTTTTCCTCACAGTGATGATTATAATCAATTCTTTAACCTTTTAAATTACAGGAAAAGGGACAGCTTAATTACACATCATGGGATAAAGTATAGTGAGAAGGCAGCTGCAGTGGTTGGAATTCAGGTAATAAAGACATTGTAAAACAAGAAAAAATACTCATCAAACCAAATAAATATACTATAAGAAAATGCAGTCAGACAAGTAGAAAAGAAAATTATCCACTTGTGTTTGTTTAATTTGGTATTTTAATTAATTAACCAACTTAGGTCCAAAGTACCTCAAATTCTAACTAAATTTTAAATTAAAGTAATTGTTCACTTCACTATAATGCAAACTTTGTGACAACAGGGATACTATCATGTTACCTGTCCTATCCTCATCCCCTAGTACAACCCTTGGAACTTTTGTTTCAACCAAAGAGAATTCATTCAGGCACCGAAAGACAAACTTTTCATGTTCTCACTCATTTGTGTGAGCTAAAAGTTAAAACAATTGAACTCATGGAGATAGAGAGTAGAATGATGGTTACTAGAGGCTGGGAAGGGTAGTGGGGGGTACAGGAGGAGTGAGGATAGTAAATGGGCACAAAAATATAGTTAATATAATAAGATCTATATTTGATAGCACAATAGGGTAATTATAGTCAACAAAAATTCATTATACATTTTAAAATAACTAAAAGACTATAAGTGGAATGTTTGTCACACAAAGAAATGATAAATGCTTGAAATAATAGAAACACCACTTGCCCTCATGTGATTATGTATTATATGCCTGTATCAAATTATCTTATGTTCCCCCATAAATATATGTACCTACAATGTACCCCTAAAAATCTTTTAAAAACTGGCTCGGCATAGTGGCTCATGCCTGTAATCCCAGCACTTTGGGAGGCTGAAGTGGGTCGATCACCTGAGGTCAGAAGTTCGAGACAAGCAGACAAGCATGGCCATCATGGTGAAGCCCGTCTCTACTAAAACTACAAAAAATTGCTGGACATGGTGGCACGCACCTATAATCCCAGCTACTTGGGAGGCTGAGACAGGAAAATCACTTGAACCTGGGGGGTGGAGGTTGCAGTGAGTCGAGATCGTGCCACTGTGCTCTTGGAGCCTGGGTGAAAGAGTGGACTCCATCACACACACACACACACACACACAAATATACATATATATAAAATAATTAAACAAAGAGAATTCAGATATATGGCAACCACATCCAATCTGAACCCAGAGAGAAAGTATAAAAGCTTTCTCTTTTAGTGATGTGAAATGGAAATAACACAAGTCACACTCTTAAGGCTTAGCATTTTACTCACTGGACAGCCTTTGAATCTATGTCAACTAGGACAAGAGTAGTGTTGTCAGTCATTTGTAAGTATTGCATCTCTTCATATCTGTTATGCACCAAGCATAGCACTAAGTGCTGGAGATACAATTGTGTACAAGCGGAAAGGCTGGCCTTAGGTGTGAGCACAGTGCATTCATCCATATTAACAAGAGGGATGGCAGAGTTTGTGGATCAGATGCACGTAGGTTAGTTGATCGGGTGATATAGAGATGAGAAAGTTCTCTTTAGCGTCTCTCTACTTCCTTAGTGGAATAAGAAGTGGAATCATTAGCTTGAGAGGATGAGAAGGAACAAAGTACTGGAGGTTCGAGGAGAGGGGAGAAGATGTGAAATAGTTATCTCTGTGGGAGAGTGAATAATGGGGAAATGAAGTCTGTTTTTGTCAACAGAGAGAGGTTCTCTAATGAAAATCTATTTGGGAATAACAAGAATTATAATCAGAATATGTGTGCCATGGTGGACCACGGGCATATCTAAGGAGGTTGAAGCAAGAGGAAGTTTTTAAAGACAAAAAGAGGAGTACATCTAAGTTGTTTTGAAACAAAGAGAACATTGGTTCCAGGAGTTTATCCAGGAATTCAGGTCAGTTCATGAGTGGAGACAACGTTTCAAGCAACTGTTTCTGTACAAGCAGCTATCTGTCCTTGTGATGCTACCTGTTCTGTGGCTCCTGGAGCAAGCTGCAGTTTGGAAAAACTTATTATGATAAGTCCTGTTAATCAGGTAAATCACACATGATAGCCCCACCTTCATGGCCTTCCTCAGCTCCCTCTTGTTAAGGTTTGAGACAAGTGACTCCACTTTGGTTCTGACAACTTTCATAGATTATATTAATTCACATCAATAGATACATAATATAGACAGACAGGTGATAGATAGATGATACAGGTAGACAGACAATAGATAGAGTTGGCACCTTCTGTTGTAAGAGTAAACTAAAAAAAATGCCATTTGAGGAAAAAGACAAGTACAAGAAATAAAATCTCTGCTTTTAAATCAAGTAGGAATTTTGGAACAAAGGAAACAGCAGGGCTGCACTGAATGGCAGGAGTACAGTTTTGTGGGAAAATTAAGAAAAAAATCATTAAGTCCTATGTGATTCAGGAGCACACATGTGAGATGTCAAAGTGATCTCTCGTCCAATTCAGTACTGGCAGGAAGTTGGGGCCAGAAGTAACTTGATAAGGTACAAAAACCATGAGCATACCAATGGTCTTTCTACAAGAGTGAAATGACAGTTTGTGATAATCTTATGTAGATCTTAATACCAGATTGACATTATTTTTCCCTGCGGTTACATGTTTAACATTTATAAGATTCTATTTATGCACAAAATGAATGTTATTGAACTAGATGATATCTACATCCACTTTCAGCTGTAACATTCTGCAAAACTAAGGTTTCCCAAGAAAAAAAGCACAGGAAATTAACCTCTGACCCCTCCTTCCCAACCTAAAAGCGACAAACTGAATATAACCCAACTTGAGTTTATTGCTTCATCCTTAACTGCTCTCTGTTCCCACTGGGATATGTGTCCTAATGGAGAAAGGGCAACCCTCCAGCTGCCCCCAAAAGCTTGTTTAAAGTGATTACCACTGAGTGAAAAGGGCATCAGGAGGAAATCTCATGCACAGTGGCTCTCCAAAAGATAGGGCTCCTTGAATAAAGTCACATGGCCGTGTGAACAGTGGTCTCTGCTGCCCCTAATGCTTTATTTCTACATTGTAAGTATACTTTCCAAGTTTTGAGTAATTAAATAAATATGAACACTATGTTAATTGTATGGTATGGGAATGAATGTTATATCATTGGTTCTTTGTTTACCTTGGAATGTTAACACCACTTTTTAAAAATATAAAGCTGCATATTTTCTATGACTAATTAACAAAAAAGTTGATTAAAAGCATACATTTCATCTACTAGATACAGCATCTGGCTGAAAGATTTAAGAATTAGGATAGTTTCCAGGTGAAATGAAACAGATCCTTTAAGGAAAGGAATCTTATACAGCTACAATATTTACAACACTTTTATCAAGACATTAAAACAGAAGCAGATGCTTTTCTGTAATGCTAACATATTAGTTACACATGGTATAATGCATTACAGAAAACATAATAATAATAGATGATAGTGGAAAGACAGAGCAGTTTTCTCTTCAAGTTGGATACAAAACAGACCCCAGATATTTTTGAAGTTAAACCTAATACAGATGGGACAATTCTAAATGTGTTGCAAAGTAAATATCACACTAGGAAGTTAAGAGATAGTGTTGATTTTTTGCAAATATCAGTGTTGGAGGGATGGTATAACATGTATACTCATTCTTAATAGGTTTGAATTATTTAAAGCATCAATAATGTATCTGTACTTAAAAATTTTTTTGATGTGGTTATACTATGTATAGTTAAAAGCCTACTCTAAATCTGTTTTATGGGTTTATGCAGTGGAGCAGCCTTGTAGCTATGACTGAATTGAGTAATGGTAGGCTCCATATTGTAAGCACTTGACTTCAGTATTTATCCATGCAACACAAACTGAGAAACTTCCCTATGCCAGGATCTGGGCTAAGCAGAGGGCATACAAAGAGATGGTTCTGTGTCCTGTCTAACTCAGGAGTGCACACATGAGGGGTCAAGGTGACTTCTCATCAAATTCTGTATGGGCAGGAAATTCAGGCCAGAAGTGAACTTGAGAATTCACAGAAATCTTGGGCACACCAATAGTCTTTCCAAAAATTGTGATATGGAAATTTGTGGAATTAATAATCTAGTGGAGAAAACAGCTGTAAATAGGAAAAAGCACACAATATTGTAATAAGAACCTTGTTTCAGGTATACCCAAGGCACCATAGGCGCAGAGACAAAACAAACAAGCACTCTTGGAGCTGGATACAGCTTTCCAAGAAGGAAGTGACATTCAAAGTGTATTTGCGAGGATGAGGAAAAAGGGGACAAATACCACAAGCAGAAGCACAGCTTTAAAAAGCATGATACAGTCTACCTCATAAAACCTTCCAAAGCTATGATTTACCTATCTAAGGCAAAGCAACAAGAGAAAAGGAAAAAAAGCTTGCAACGTACGTACCATTTCTAATACATATCAAATATCACACAGAATTTACAAAGAATGCATAAGGTGGGTCCATGATATTTCCCTGTTCTTGCAAAGCTCAGCGTCTGCTTGATTAAATTTTGTTCTAGAAGCAAAGCAAAATAGTGTTTTTCAAAGCAAATATTTTTGTTTTCTGATCTGGAAAGCAAAAAGTGCTTATTTTAAAAATTCAAGAGAAAAAATATATAAAGAAGAAATTAAATCCAACCTCCCAGAAGCACAGTTTACTTATTGCTGTACAATGTTTTCATCTTTGTTCGTTCATGTAAATGTGTGTGCACATTTGAGTGTAGCCTCAAACTTGCACAAAAAGTATGATTTAAGATCATCTACATATCACATATCAGTGTCAGCTAATGCCTCCTCCTTACCCCATCAGATCTAAATAACATTAGCTCAAACCCTCAATCCACATTCTGTGGATGAAGCCTCAAAATTCACAGTTGTTCTCCTGAACTCCTCTGCTTCAGGCTCCAGGCTTCTTACATTCCTTCCACATTTGATATCAAATTCAGCCTCCTCTTTGATTTATGCAGAAAGTCCCACTTTATACATAGCACCTGGGAGCAGACTTTACTGAAGATTTAGTGGGAAGACAAAAAAGATTACATCATAGCAGTACCAACATTTAAATCAAACATCACACATCTACGGTTCTAAAGGGTCCTTTGGTAAGCCGCCTACTAGGAAATTTGCACTAGCCCTGAATTATAAACAATCCCTTTCTCACAACATCTCGCTGGACCTTCTGTCCTCTGTCCCGTCATTCTCCTCTGCTCCTAGGTCGTCATGCAGAGCAGACAGAATAGTTCCTTTGATTCTTCATTTGCCTTCATTCACGCAAGCAGGTTCTCTCTCATCCTAAGTGTTTTCACAAAGACAGTTCCTTTCTAAACAGGAATACTGGTACAATTTATTACATGTTAATTTCATATGTAGACAGGTTTAGCATCCTCTCATGTCATAATTAGAGTTTAACAACACCATTTCTGACGGCTGCATAGTATTTCATAATTATTTATTTAACCAACTATTTTATAGCTATTTAGGTCCCTTCAATCTATCCCTACTTTTATTAACATATTTACACAAATATTGCAAATATTTTATTAGATTATTTGAAAAGCAGATTAAAATTCTTACTTCATAAATTTCTGTCCTAGAGTAAGTAGAGCTTTGTTTATTCAAATTGTTTATTTAATCAGTTACCTGTGTACCTGATTTAAAAATGTACACCTTCAGCAGGTAAGAAGGGGGAGGATTTATTGGGGAATAAACCTGGGCAATACTGATTATTAAAAAATAGAAAAAAATGTATACTTCTCTCTTCTGTCCATATTTAAATATTTTTGTTAACCCCAAAGCCAGGCCAACTGGCTGGGGTGAAATTAGGATGCAAACATCAGGATTGTAACCTACCAATATTTCTATTGAAACATTGGTGATTCATATTTTTATTATTGCTCAATTCATTTTTCAAATAATGAAACTTCAATAATAACAAAAATTTCAATATTGGCCAGGCACAGTGGCTCATGCCTGTAATCCCAGCACTTTGGGAGGCCAAGGCAGGTAGATCCCCTGAAGTCAGGAGTTCAAAACCAACCTGACCAATATAGTAAAACCCCGCCTCTACCAAAAATACAAAAATTAGCCAGGCGTGGTGGCATGTGCCTGTAGTCCCAGCCACTCAGGAGGCTGAAACAGGAGAATTGCTTGAACCTGGGAGGCGGAGGTTGCAGTGAGCCGAGATCCCGCCCCTGCACTCCAGCCTGGACGACAGTTAGACTCCGTCTCCAAAAAGAAAAAAAAAAAATTCACTATTTACCTTTAAATTTTTTAAATGAAACAAACAGACCCCTTCTTCTCAGAATGGTAAACTGATCTTAAATTTCAACCACTATCAATTGCTGTTTAATCCAATTGCTTGGGTTTTCCAAGGTCTAAGTTGCAAACTTCTCTTTAGTTTTTTTCAAAAACACAGAACTTTCAGGAGCAACGCCAGCACTTCAACTAAATGACTTGTATTAGTCAAAGTTTTCCAGAGAAAAGAACCTGTATGATGTTTGTATGTATGTATGTTTGTCTATACAGGGAAAGAACAAGAGAGAGAGGGAAGGCAAGAGACAGAGAGAGAAAGAGAGAGATTACAAGGAGTTGGCTTACACATTTGTGCAGGCTGGAAAGTCCCAAGACCTGCAGGTAGAGTTGGCAAGCTGGACATCCAGCAGAACCCATAGTTTAGTTTCAGACTGAGTTCTAAGGCCTGAGAACCTAAAAAGCCAATGGTGTAGTTCCAGATCCAAGAGCAGATGTTCAGTTCAAGTCCAAAGATGGGTAAAAAAAAAGTTGATGTCCCAATTTGAAGGCCCTGCAACAGGAAAAATGATCTCTTACTTGTGGGAGGATCCATTTTTTGTTCTATTCAGGCCTCTACCTGTTTGGATGAGGACCAACCACAGTAAGGAGGACCATCTGCTTTCCTTACTCTACTGACTCAAATGTTAATCTCATCAGAAAACACCCTCACAGACACACTCAGAATAATGTTTAACTAAATAGTTGGGCACCCTGTGGCCCAGTCAAGTTGACACAAAAAATTAACCACCATATAACCTCAATAAGGAACCACTTATCATGACCAGAATAAAAACATAAAACTACCCCATACTTTTTCTAATTTTATTCTAAGAACAAAACATGACTCTCAGTGTTTCCTTTCTGTTTCTGCCCAGAGCAGAAAATTCTTCCAAGCTCACTCCTGGCCCTGGAGGAGTTAGGCTGTCTCTCCACAGCTGTTTAAGTGACTGCTCTGATCACATTTATCATATTGAATTGTAATGGTATGTGGGTCTTCCCCTCCTCACTTAACCCAGAATGCCTTATTTATTTATTTATTTATTTTTGGTATTCTCAGAACCTGGCATTTAACAAGTACTTGATACATGCTTGATGGATGATTGAATAAAAGCAGGCATAAATAATCAGAATCTCAGAGCCAGTTAAGTGATGACTCAAGCTTAGTTCAGAATTCTTTCCTTTATATTATCTTACCTATCTCAGATGATTCCAAGTTCTTCAGAAGTCATTACAGATCCCCTCTACACTTCTTTATAGTTGTTTTTGTTATTTAAGAATGTTCACTTTGCACATTCTTCTTTAAACACAGAGTGCAAATTTAAAATAGGCAAAACATCATATTTCATAAAGTTTCTGATATAGAAGTTGTACAGAAAACTAAGGTTTGGTTAATATAATCGGTTTATTTCTTGCTTCTTCTACATTTTAGATTTTGGTTCAGTCTGACATCAGTATTGTCCTAGCTGGCCTCCCAATTCTTTCTGATTTTGAAACATGTTTATTACATACAGGGACTTGGCAGAAAAATATTGAATCTGTTTTAAATCTTTGCAGTTTTTATAGACCAAATGTCTCAAAGAAGTTTGTTTAAAACTGTTTATGTAATTATGATTTTTCTAGTTACTATGCCCCAAAAGTCAAAAGAAGCATCCCTTTTCCAATTACTCATAATTAGCTCCAGAATTCACAATAATCCCAAATTCAACATGGCTGAATTTGAATCAGTCCCACCCCTCCTTATTCTAACTCCTTTTCCTTCTTTCTGTGTACCCATTTCTATGAAGTTCATGACCACGTGCCTTTGACCAAGACAGAAAACTAAAAATTGCCCTGAATTCTGCTTCTTCCTAAACACCGTATTCAATCACTCACCTGTACATAAGTACTTGAAGAGTCTAAATCTGTTCTTCTCTCTCTCTCTCTTTCTCTCTTCCCCCCCCCCACCGCCCCCCTTTACTGTCTTAATTCAGGTATCCATTACCTTTCAACTGTATTTTAACACCAGCTACCTGGCCTCCTCATCTCTAATACTCATGTACATCTCCCATTGCACCCCCAATACATTCTCCATTCAATAACGAAGAAAATTTTTCAAAAAATAGAAAAGTAGTCAGATCATGCCATTCTGTTTAAAATTCTTGAATTGTTCTCCATTTTCCACAGGATCAATCCAAGTTCCACAGCATAGAAACTTCCTCATAACTTTCCCCTGCAACATCTTTAGACTCAATATTCATTGTTAGTCCACTTTTATTTTATTTTATTATTTTATTTTATTTTATTTTATTTTATGTTTTGAGATAGACTCTCACTCTATCACTAGGGTGGAGTGCAGTGACACGATCTCAGCTCACTGCAATCTCCATCTCTCAGGTTCAAGTACTTCTCTTTCCTCAGCCTCCTGAGTATCTGGGACTACAGGTGTGTGCCACCACATCCAGCTAATTTTTGTATTTTTAGTAAAGATGGGGTTTCACCATGTTGGCCAGCATGGCCTCGAGATCTTGACCTCATGATCCACCCACCTCGGCCTCCCAAAGTGCTGGGATTACAGGCGTGAGCCACCAAGCCCGGCCATTAGTCCACTATTCTTAATCCACTAATGAAAGGGAAATCTGTGACCAAAGACGACAGGTAACCCCTTTAATTTTTTAGGATCTAAAATAATCATCTGACCCCTTTAATAGGCAAAACATTTTAAATGTGTATATCAATAAAAAATTTTGCCAACTAGGTTAGCCCTTTTGTCATTGCTATAAAAGAATACCTAAAGCTTGGTAATTTATAAAGAAGACAGGTTTATTCGGCTGCTGGTTCTGCAGGCTGTACAAGCATGGCACCAGCATCTGCTCAGCTTCTGGTGAGGCTTTGGGAAGCTTTTAGTCATGACAGAAGGGAAGGGGAGCAGGTGAGTCACATAGCAAAAAAGAGCAAGAGAAAGAAGAGGAGATGCCAAGCTCCTTTAAACAACCGGCTCTCACATGAACTAGCAGAGCAAGAACACACTCATTACCATGTGGAGGGCACCAAACCATTCATGAAAAATCCACTGCTTTGATCCAAATACCTCCCACCTATTCTCATCTCCAACACTGGGTATCACATTTCAACATGAAATTGGGAGAGGACAAATATCCACACCATATCACCAACTGGGCCCCTTTTACTTTCTATTGAATATAGCCTTAAGTAAGATTCAAGTTTTATATTACTATGTTCTTAGTCTATTTATATATAGTAATCTCTTTTCCTTAAATTATTTCAAAAGTCAAAAATTGAAGCTATCACCCCCTCTTGTATTCTCTTAAAAGAGAAATAAATGGATATTCTTCTTCTAATTGACCCCCAAAAAATCTGAATTAATGTTCTTTTCTCCATGTAGTACCCCAGTTCTCTTAAGCAAGTATATGACCCCAGAACTAAGATGTGAAAAAGAAATTTCTCTAAGGCTTTCTCAGGGTGGTGCTACCTCTTTGGATTATTTTATCTTGATAAGAAAAACATTTAATTTGCACTTGAGAATTACAAGATGAACTCTACTAAAGTGCTCTCCAAATTGTGGGCATCTGGAAACTTCTATAGGAAATTGACAGAATATTTGATGTCTATTGAATCCATAAAAAATGGAGCTTTGTATTTAAGTTTTCTAGTACTTCATTTATATTACGAAAGTGTCCATCCAAGGCAGAAGAGATATATGGACATAAAACTTTTCTGAAAGCAAAGTGTATTAGTCTGTCTTCACACTGCTGATAGATACATACCTGAGACTGGGCAATTAAAAAAAAGAGGTTTAATGGACTTACAGTTTCACATGGCTGGGGACACCTCACAATTATGGCAGAAGGCAAGGAGGAGCAAGCCACATCTTATGTGGATGACAGCAGGCAAAGAGGGAGCTTGTTCAGGGAAACTCCCATTTTTTAAAACCATCAGATCTCATGAGACTTATTCACTATCACAAGAACAGCATGGGGAAAGACTCATTCCCATGATTCAATTACCTCCCACTGGGTCCCTCCCATGACACATGGGATTGTGGGAATTACAATTCAAGATGAGATTTGGGTGGGGACACAGCCAAACCATATCATTCCTCCCCTGGCCCCTCTCAAATCTCATGTTTCAAAACCAATCATGCCTTCCAAACAGTCCCCCAAAGTCTTAACTCATTTCAGCATTAACTCAAAAGTCCACAGTCCAAAGTCTCATCAAAGACAAGGCATGTCCCTTCCACCTATAAGCCTGTAAAACCTTTTGAGGGTACAGGCTTTGGGTAAATACAGCTGTTTCAAATGGGAAAAACTGTCCAAAACAAAGGAACTATAGCCCCATGCAAGTCCTAAATCCAGCGGGGTAGTCAAATCTTAAAGCTTTAAAATGATCTCCTTTGACTCCATGTCTTACACCCAGGTCATGCTGATGCAAGAGGTAGGTTCCCATGATATTGGGCAGCTTTGACCCTGTGGCTTTGCAGGGTACAGCCTCCCTCCTGGCTGCTTTGACATGCTGGTGTTGAGTGTCTGTGGTTTTTCCAGGCACACAGTGCAAGCGGTCAGTGGATCTACCATTCTGGGGTCTGGAGGACAGTCACCCTCTTCTCACAGCTCCACCAGGTGGTGCCCCAGCAAGGACTCTGTGTGGGGGCTTTGACCCCACATTTCCCTTCTACGCTGCCCTACCAGAGGTTATCCATGAGAACCCTGACCCTGCAGCAAACTTCCACCTGGACATACAAGCATTTCCATACATCCTCTGAAATCTAGGTGGATGTTTCCAAACCTCAAGTCTTGACTTCTGTGCACCCGCAGGCTCAACACCATGTGGAGGCTGCCAAGGCTTGGGGCTTCCACCCTCTGAAGCAACAGCCCAAGCTGCACCTTGGCCCCTTTTAGCCTTGGCTGGAGCAGCTGGGACGCAGGGCACCAAGTCCCTAGGCTGTACACAGCACAGGGACCCTGGGCCCAGCCCATGAAACCATTTTTTCTTTCTAGGCCTCCAAGCCTGTGATGGGAGGGGCTACCATGAAGACCTCTGACACGCCCTGAAGACATTTTCCCCATTGTCTTGGGTATTAACATTCAGCTCCTCATTACTTATGCAAATTTCCGTAGCTTGCTTGAATTTCTCCTCAGAAAATGAGATTTTCTTTTCTATCACATTGTCAGGCTGCAAGCTTTTCAAACTTTTATGTTCTGCTTCTCTTATAAAACTGAATGCTTTTAGCAGCACCCAAGTCACCTCTTGAATTCTTTGCTGCTTAGAAATTTCTTCCCCCAGATACCCTAAACCATCTCTCTCAAGTTCAAAGTTCTGCAAGTCTCTAGGACAGGGGCAAAATGCCACCAGTCTCTTTGCTAAAACATAACAAGGGTCACCTTTGCTACAGTTCCCAACAAGTTTCTCGCCTCCATCTGAGACGACCTAAGCCGGGAACTTATTGTTCATATCATTATCAGTATTTTTCTCAAAGCCATTCAACAAGTCTCTAGGAAGTTCCAAACTTTCCCACATTTTCCTGTCTTAGTCTGAGCCCTCCAAACTGTTTCAACCTCTGCCTGTTAACCAGTTCCAAAGTCACTTCCACATTTTCAGGTATTTTTCAGCAACATCCCACTATACTGGTATTAATTTACTGTATTAGTCTGTTTTCACATTCCTGATAAAGATATACCCAAGACTGGGCAATTACAAAAAAAAAACAAAGAAAAAGAAGTTTAATGAACTTACAGCTCCACATGGCTGGGGAGGCCTCACAATCATGGCAGAAGGCGGAGGAGCAAATCATATCTTAAGTGGATGATGGCAGGCAAAGAGAGAGAGCGCTTGTGCAGGGAAACTCCCATTCTTTTAAAACCAACAGATCTCATAAGACTTATTTACTATCAGGAGAACAGCATGGGAAAGACCCGCCGCCATTATTCAATTACCCTCTGGGTCCATCTCATAACATGTGGGAATTGTGGGAGTTACAGTTCAAGATGAGATTTGGGTGGTGACACAGCCAAACCATATCACAAAAACCTGGACTTTTACCACAGATCATTTGAGAAGCTCAGTTCTAGCATATTTTTTTAACTCTGTCAACACACCAAACACCTGCAGTCTGGCTTTGTGTCTATTCAATATCATCTGCATTTGTTTCAATCTACTGGTAAACTTCTCCATTATGATGTCTCCCATAGGTGGGTGGTATCCCATATGGCCCAGAGTTTACACAAACACAGTTCAAGGTGCTTTGAGTTACCAGAATCCAGTCTTCTTACATGCTTTGAGTTATTAGAATCTAGTCTTGGTTTCCACCCATAACCCCCTTTGGAATGGGTGATAAACATTGCTCAGGTTGCCCCCCAGCTATGGAAGGGCTTTCCAAACACATGGTAAAGTGCGTCAGTTTCCACCAAGAGGAATGATATTACATTCCAAGTGCAAGATTCTAACAAAAGGAACAATTTGGTAAAATGAAGTTGTAACTCTAGCCCTGAAAAGCAATAGTCATGATCAGGAATAATAGGATTAGGGGAACTATTCTTTAAAAGATATTAAAAAATCAGTGAAAGGTATTTTAATTCTAAATGACTGCTGAGTCTTAAAGTTCTCACTTACCCACTCAACTACCTATTTCATACTTACTAGGTTCTTGGGTGTTTTGCCTCTACCTCTCCCATTTCTGGCCTTGTTCTCAAGTGGTTAAACCTCTCAGCTGGATTTAAAGGAATTTTTATTTAACTAATTCTTAAAGTTATGAATTCCTGAGCTGCTTTAGGTAACAATGTCACATCAAATTGTTGCCCCAGATTTTCTTAACAAGAATGTATATGGAAATTTAGTTTTATGTTATTTTTTTAATTCATAGTTCTTTCCAAATCCGATAAATAAAGCAAATTCCATCACTTAGTGTTTTAACAAATTAAAGTAATTCTAGAATTTCTAATGTGCATTTTATGGGATGACATCATGACACACATTTGTTATGACTAAATACACTAAGAGAGCTGGTCCATTTATTGGCTAAAAGTCACCTGAGTCTCATCTGTTTTTCTATAATGTGAATTCTCTTTCATGGACGATTATAATAGGACAAATAGCACCATTAATTTAATTCTAAGCAAAAGTCCACATATTTACTCTAGTTGAACCAGTGTAGCTCCCATGCTCACAACTGAACCAGAGAGACAAAATGTGGTGGTTAGTTTAACAACAGCTTCACCAAATGTCATAGTTTTCCAAACCCGTGTTGAGAAAAAGGAAGTAACAACTAGATGCCAGGAAGGCAATCAAATAATGTCTGCTACCCAAACATTTCCTAAATATAGACTATAAGCATCTTGAGAGTAGGTACCTGTCTTATTCACTATCATATTTTCAGATCATAAAGCAGAGCACGTAACACTGCAGGCGTGTCATAATGTTTTACATTATGTAAGTATGTAAGTGTGTATGGATGAGTAGATGGATAATGAAATGATGGGGTTAATCATTTCCATGTCTGGCCAAAATGCTTTTCAGAAACCTGAGAATTAAAAGACTTGATAAATTATGTTTTGTTTTCATAATTAAGTGTTATGAAATGCTAATAAATTGCTAGTAAACAATAATCAAAATGATGTATTTTCCACAAGTAAATTTAGGCATAACTAAAGTTATACTTAATGTCCCAGCTCAATGGCTTATATAGGTTAACATTATCTGAGGTCAGAGTGCATGCTCCCATTTACACCTTACCTCATTGATGGATTATCAGTCAAATTGATTATCATTCAAATGCTTCACTAAACAAGAGACATGAACCATACCTTAAAAAATGTTGTGGTGCATTAAGCAGTTTCCTATGTGAGTACTATCAACAGAAAATATCCTGCCTTTGTGAAAATGTACGGGTCCTATCTGAGGAAGATTGATGATGTATTCTGTTTGGTTTCAACTGTTAAAGATTATGCAATATAGAAGTAGGCAATTTAGTTTTCATTAGAGAGCAAACTTCAGTTAGATAACTAGGTAATTGACAAAACAGACTTCTTTGGGCCCCATTCAAGACCCCAATTGTCCTCCCATAATTTTAGAACACTGGATAAGCAGACGAAACACACCTTTGTCATATGATGCTATTTTCTCCTTAAATTCTCACTAAAACTGAGACCCTTGTGAATGGTGTGCTAACCTTCACAGCCACAGCATTAGATAAGTAGATAACTGGTATAGAAACAAGATGTCAAGCTATTAGTTTTAATATATTAGTTAAGATTTCAGGACCTTGCCTGGATAGCAACAGCTGTAGAATTTAACCCAATGTAAAACAGACATAGTAAGCATTCCTTCTAATCTCACTGTATTAGACATAAGCTGATAGGACATTTGTTTTCTAGAGAAACCATACACATTAAAAAGTATATTTCCAAATATTAAAATATTTTCTTTTTAGCTTTATCTTTGATATTCCATTGAAACAGAAGATTTAAGATTAGGATGAATAAACTATATGGTTAGTTCTGAGCTCTAATATTAAGAGTAGGTTTAAGATCTAGTTCCCACCTGAGGCACTGGTTTGGAAAATTTCTCTGTGTACAGCAAATGGAATAAACACTGCGATGTGAATGTGGGGATTTTACATCCATTTTTAACTATTTTGGTGCTCTCACAGGTTCAGAATGTGGATTTATTTCACATAATCAACATTTGTAGAAATTGTGTGACCCTGAGAGCCTTAAGGTAGACAAAGAGGTTACAGAAGAGATTTACAAGACCCCAAAGATCCTCTTTAGGTGAGAAAATTCTTCTTAGGCCTCACGGCAATAGGGTTTAAATAGGTAGCTGACAAAATAATTTACAACAGTCCTGAAATTATTCTATCTTCCTCCTTGACAAACCATTTGCATTTAAGATTCATCTTCGTGAATCAACTAACAAAATGCTATTATCTCTGAACAGTTTACATTTTGTTAACTTAATTTATACCTTTAGGCTTGATCCAGTCCCCCCATAAGAAAGAGAAAACAGTGTAGAGCTCTGTCTGGGATGGAAACAAGGGAAATTCCTACACTTTTGTTTTGACCTTCAGGGGCGGGGCAGTGTTAGCTGAGAATAGGAAGGTCGAGGTCAGAAGCCCCGCTAGCTTCTGGGCATCAGAGTCCTTTTGTCCTCACTCTGCTTCATCCTAAAACTCAGTGCTAGTGCTATAGACTCTGAAGCTCAAACAATGGCCAAGTTTGTCTTTCATTTTCTTACCCTGTAGTTTGACACCTCTTCCTAGTTTTTTGTATGTTTAATTATTATGGATACATAATAGTCCACAGTAAGTATCATCCTGAACTGGGAAAAGCTGAAAACCTTTCCGCTAAGATCTGGAATAAGACAAGGATGCCCACTTTCACCTTAGTTATTTTACCTAACTTTGTCTCTGGCATTCATTTCAGTGTCTTCCCCGTTACTCTTTATTGGCGGAAATCAAACAGCCCATTCCAGAGGGCAAAGGGCAAATGAGTTTTATTGCCTGTTAACTACCAATGCCTTGAAGTTCATCATCAGCATAACTGGAACTCCACTCGATTCATTTTGTAGGAAGCAGACCAAGGAACTAAACCACTCTTATGATTACATGATATTTATTCATGTAATTCATTTATTCAAATTGATTATTAGCATATGATATGCTTCAGAAAATTAAATCTCTTTTGGTATTGTACTGGTGTTATTTCTGTTCCTAAGAAATAAATACATAATTTTCTTATATGTCACTTTGTAAATACATTCTATACATGAAAATGTTAAACTAGTAATAGGTTTTATAAGATTTTGATATTTAAAAAATAAACAAACATAAAAATCTATAATACCCATATATAGCAAATAACATACTGACATATAATGCTAACCTCTAACATTATCCTTCTTAATATTTAGGGAAAAAAACATATTGAATATGAGTTGTAAAATGCTAAATAGAATAGTAGCTCTGACTGTGAGAAAATATTTAAAATCATTCATTTCAGTTGGTTTGAAATGTCATGAAAAAGCTTGCCGTAACTACTTAATCTGAGCCTGAGGAATAGTAAAGTCAATCATCCTTATTAAAATAGTTTATTGTTAATCTCTCTGTGTGTGAATGCATATATATATATATATATATATATATAAAATGAATAACCCAAGAAAAATTGATACAATAATTGTGACAAAATATGTAACCCCTATGCCTCTTCCCTATCCAATATAACAGAATAAAGGTAGTTATACTAAATCCATTGCTTTTGATCAAAGAATAAAACTGCCTTTTTTTTTTTTTTTTTGAGATGGAGTTTCACTCTTGTTGCCCAGGCTGGAGTGCAATGCATGATCTCAGCTCACCGCAACCTCCACCACCCGGATTCAAGAGATTCCCCTGCCTCAGCCTCCTGAATAGCTGGGATTACAGGCACGCGCTACTATGCCCGGCTAAGTTTGTATTTTTACTAGAGACGGGGTTTCTTCATGTTGGTCAGCTGGTCTCAAACTCCTGACCTCAGGTGATCCACCCGCCTCAGCCTCCAAAAGTGCTGGGATTACAGGCGTAAGCCACCGCACCTGGCCTAAAATTGGCTTTTTAAATAAATATCAACATCTTGAAATTCTACAGTGATCTGTTGCTTGTCTTAATTTTAATTTAAAAAAATGAATAGCATAATTGAAATAATCAGCATTAATCTTTAAATCAAAAGGATTTACAATGAGATTATAATTAATTACATGCCAAAACTATCTCATTGAATAGGGTAGTGACCTCAGTTACTTTGTTTAATCACTAAAGCAATTCAATTCCCAAATAAGAATTTGGATCAATTCCAATTATACCCAATTAAGATTATCAGTTCACTAAGAACAGTGACAATAACCCTCAAAAATAAACTCCTTAAAACTTTTCTTTTTGATTAATGCGTCTGCACCACTTTTTATTAGTACTTAGGTCCTTGAGGAAAACAATCTTGGCAGGAGGGCCATGCTGGCCCCAGGATGCCTGTGGGTGAATATTTCCATAAATTGTTTTCTGTTCTGTTGCTGAACACATCAGTTGTCACCTATTAGCCCCATTTGCAGCAGACCAAAGTCAAAGAATGTTATTCTTGTTATCTTGAATACATCCTGGAAAGCCACAGATTAATAGATTTTTCTCTTAGGAGCTACAAAAAACCCTCTACAATTTTTATGCATTTCTAACTTAGACAACTTTTATTTCTCAAGTTTCACAACAATATGATGAGTATGCTAGACCATAGCTACATTGCCAAAAGATTGTAATTCATTTCCTTTGATATGTACAGGACAGTTACATAGAGATGATTCAGAAACAGAAAATAAGAACAAATCATTTCTGGCTTCTTACAAATGAAAATGTATTTAACTAATGCCAACTTCTACTTACCATGGCGTGTCCTCTAAACTATGAGAAGACATTTTATTTTTTCAAATATACCTTTTTGTTTTCCATATGAAATAACTGGTGCTTCCTTAGTATTCTAATTGGTGCAAAATGCTGAGCCAATTATGAAAGTTCTCAAGCAGCTCCTTTCAGTGAACTTCAGAGGGAAACTAAAACAAGCCTTCTCTAAACAAGACTGGGATTTAAAAAGCCAGGTAATTTTTTTTAATTTTATATTTTCTGATACATGTTCTGTATCTTTGACACTGCACGTTTTTTGTAAAGCATAATTAATATCCTCAATTAGTTGGAAAGTATTTCTTGAGTTATCTGCACACAGCACTCTCACAATGCACTGACATTCAGATTCTGCCCAGCTTTCTGCCAAAATCTTCTCTTTAACTTTAGCTTCAGCCTTGCAATGGACCATCATACAGCTAAAGAACTATTGGCACGCTGATGCTGTGTGTAATTAATGACAAGTGTTGATAAGTTACCAACATATCTAATCAGCATAACAATGTAATATAAATAAGATGTGTCATTCAGATTTATTGCCAAGCTCTGGAAATTTACATTCAAATATAGATAAAAGCATTCTATATATAACCTGAACAGAAAAATCTTATGTGTTTTATATGTTGAAATTCTGTCAGTCAGCTGATGTGTGATACATCATTATTCTCTGAATTAATTACAGAAACAATCAATGACAGTAAAAGCCGCCAAACTGGTCAAAAATATTGAGAAATTTCCAAAGGTTAAATAGAAAATACATTGACAGTTAAATTAATATTAGGAGAGAGTACAAGAACCAAATAACCTTAGGGAGACCACATTACTTTGGAGACAAGAGATGAGTATAAAAATGTAAATAATAATACAAGGTTTATTAACAGAGATTAGAATAAAGCTGAATCAGTCTAGGTTTGATCACAAAGAGAGAATCACTATAAGAATTATGAAAACAAGGAATGTAATATGGAATTAGGGCTTACATTATTGTGACAGGAGATGGGATGAGTAAAGGTCTCAAAAGATAAAGCCAGGAAATCAGGAAACGGTTAACTATTGACCTCAACGTGAAGTACTGGAGGATGAAGCATCTACAGCTTGTAGGGAGGGTGGAGTAACCACAACTGTGAGTGAGAGTTCATGAAGCGGTCTGCAAAGCTACCATGTCTGACCACCACGATTTCTTGAGAACATGGCTTCCATTTTCCAAATCCCATGTAAATTACTCTCAATAGGAAACTCTAACCAGAACCATACAGCCAAGGGGATTCTGAGAAGCACGGTTCTCCGCCTTAGGAGAAAGGCAGTTCTCCTAAGAAATGCTGTTGTCTGGTTCATAGACAACCCACCAGTATCATAACTCTAATCAAGTAGAATTGTTTATTGAGCTAGAAATTAAAATATGAGAGAAAAAAATCGTTAAGAATTGTATTTAATTAGCAGTTACCTAATTCCACGGAAGCCTTAAAACTTTCATGAAAATTATTCTCCTGAGGAATTTTTATAGTTTATGATGATAAATTAAAATCAAATATCAATTTTGCCACATCAACATTTCTTGAAGAAGAAAAAATCAGAAATCCTGTATTACGACTTTCATAATAAACCATCTTCAAGCTACACATAATTAAGAATATGAGTATAAACAAAAGAAGAAAGTAAAAGCGTTAAAGAAAAATAGGTTTCCCAAATTACATTTTGTTCTCACTAACTAAACTTCAAAATAATAATTTCATAAAACTGCTTTAAGCAGATTTGCATCTATGGGCTCAAAAGTTAAACAAAAATTAATCTGGCCAGGCATGGTGGCTCATGCCTGTAATCCCAGCACTTTGGCCAAGGTTTCTGGATCACCATAGGTCAGGAGTTAGAGACCAGCCTGGCCAACATGGTGAAACCCCATCTCTACTAAAAATACAAAAATTAGCCAGTACATGTTGTGGTGCATGCGTGTAATCCCAGCTACTCAGAAGGCTGAACCACAAGAATTGCTTGAACCCAGGAGGTGGAGGTTGCAGTGAGCCTAGATGGGCAACAGAGTGAGACTCTGTCTTAAGAAAAAAAAAAAACAATTTAAATGACTGCTATACAAATATTGAGGACAATGACTCTTTTATGACTTGCCTTAAGTTCATTTTATAAAACATGTAACTAAAAGACATTTTCCTGAATTATATTCTGGTGGATATAAAAAGATTAATGGCATTACTAAATATACTAGATGAAAGAGAACATGCATTTAGTACCTTAAACATGTGGCCAGAGTGACAATGAGCCATCCAGTAGTGGGGAGGTTGGAGAAATTATTATTCTGGATCTACAAGGTCAAACTTCTCAAATTTTACTCCTCAAAATTTGAATAATCATAAATTAAACAATGTTTAAATAAAACCTTAGATCTATGCTAGTATTTCACAAGTTCATTGTATTGTGGTGATATTTGGATTTGGCTTTGGTTTTGAGATAAAAGTAATATTGATCTTAATGACTCCATAATTTGGCATTTGGTACAAAATCACATTAGGGTACATCTCTAAAAATCACATCAATAGAGTTTGACTAGGATGTTTTCATACTTTACATAAGTATAAATGCCCTCCTCTCTTCTTAAAACCAAATAACTACTCGAGGCCACCACATTCACACACTTTCTCTGTGAAGTGGGCCAGCACTTCCCACTTTCAGAATTCTTCCTTTTGTTGTAATAATTTATGTATGTTTCTCATCTTTCCTACTAATCTGAAGGTGAGTCATAGCAAGAATATTTGGTCTTGTCTTTTTTCCACCACTAATAGCAGTCATGAATCAGTGACCTGTATGGCAAATTCAATCTGTAAATACGTTTGGTTTGGTTGATTTGTGTTTGTGTGTCTGTGCCTGTGTGTATATGTATGTTTCCTATGCAATTGTCTTTTAAGTATATTCACATAATTGTACAACTATCACCACAATCTAATTTTAGAATAATTTCATCATCCCCCCAAAAAACCCATATCCATTAACATTCCTTACTCCTCTCCCATAGCCCTAGGCAACCATTAATCTGCTTTCCGCATCTATAGAGATGACCATTTAATATAATGGAATCCCACCATATAGATTAATCTGTTACCGACTTTTGTCACTTAGCTAAATGTTTCCAAGGTCCACCCATGGTGGACCATAGATTAGTACTTCATTCCTTTATATTGCAAAATAATATTTCACTTATTGATAGACCGCATTTGACTTACCATTTCATCAGTTAATGGACATTTATTTCTATTTTTTGGCTATAATAAACAATGCTGCTATGAACATCTTTGTACAAATTCTTGTGTGGACATATGTTTTCATTTCTCTTAGGTATATACCTAACGGTGGACCAGCTGGGTTATATGGTAAGACTATGTTTAACTTTTTCAGAAAGTGCTAGACTGTTTTACAAAATGACCTTATCATTTTATATCCCCAGGAGCAGTGTATAAGTGTTACAATTTCTCAGAATCCTGACCAATATTTATTATCTGAGTTATTTATTTTAGGCATCCTGGTGGTATGAATGGTATCCCATTGTGGTTTTGATTTTCATCTCCCTAATGATTAATAATAGGCCTTATTATTAAGATGTTTATTAAGCATGTTAAGCATCTTTTCCTGTGTTTATTGGGTGTTTATCTTCTTTAGGAAAATGTCTAATTTTTAATTGGGTTGTTTGTCCAATTTTTAATTGGACTGTTTGTCTTTTGTTTTGGTTTGGTTTTTGGTTGTTGGCTTTTGGTTTTTTGGTTTTCCGTTTTTTGAGATGGACTCTCCCTCTGTTGCCTAGGCTGGGGTGCAGTGGTGCGATCTCCACTCACTGCAACCTCTGCCTCCAGGGTTCAAGTGATTCTTGTGCCTCAGCCTCCCGAATAGCTGGGATTACAGGTGTGTGCCACCACGCCCAGCTAATTTTTGCATTTTTAGTAGAGACAGGTTTCACCATGTTGGCCAAGCTGGTCTCAAACTCCTGACTTTAAGTAATCTGCCCCCACTTCAGCTTCCCAAAGTGCTGGGATTACAAGTATGAGCCACCTCGCCTGGTCAGATTGTTTGTCTTTTTAATATTGAGTTGCAGGGCCAGGAGTGGTGGCTTACACCTGTAATCCCAGCACTTTGGGAGGCCGTGGCAAAAGGACTGCTTAAGGCCTAGAGTTGGAGACCATACTGGGTAACATAGTGAGACCAGGTCTCCACAAAAAAACAAAAATGTAATAGCCGGGTGGGTAGCATGCACCTGAAGTCCCAGCCACTCAGGAGGCCAAGGCAAGAGGATCACTTGCTTGACCCCAGAAGTTTGAGGTTGCAGTGAGCTGGGATTGCACCACTGCAGTCCAGCCTAGGTGACAGAGCAAGACCCAGTCTCTATCCAAAAAAAAAAAAAATTGAGTTGTAAGCACGCATCATGTATTCTGTATTCAGGTCTCTTATCAGCTATATGATTTACAAGTGTATCTTCCCATTTTGCCGTTTGTCCTTTCACTTTCTTGATGGTATTGTTTACAACACTTCTTTAAAATTTTTTGATGAAGTCCAATGTATCTATTTGTTTTCTTTTGTCACTTATGCTTCTGGTGTCATATGTAAGAATGTATTGACTAAAGATACAAAGATTAATCTATAATCCATTTCAAGTTGATTTTTGTGTACAATGTGAGACAGGAAGTATTTTTGCATGTAAATACCCAATTGTTCCAGCACCATTTGTTGAAAGACTATTGTTTTCCACACTGAATTGTTTTGGCACCCTAGCCAAAAATCAATTGGCCAAAATGTGGGTTTATTTCTGCACTCTTAATTCTATTCCACTGATTTATGTCTATCCTATGCGAGTACCACCACTGTCTTGAGTACTGCAGCTTTGTGGTAAGTTTTGAAATCAGAAGTGTGAGTTCTTAAACTTTGCTATTCTTTTTCAAGATTTTTTGGGCTATTTTGAGTCTCTTCTATTTCCATGGTAATTTTAGGATTTGCTTGTCAATTTTGCAAAGAAGTCAGCTAGAATTTTGATAAAGGATTGTGTTGAGTTTACAAAACAATTTATGGAATATTACCATCTTAAGAATATTAAGTCATCTAATATATTAATATTTGATATTTTCCATTATTGAGTTATTTAATTTCTTTCAATTACGTGTTTCAGTTCTCAGAGTACAAGTCTTGTACTCCCTTTGTTAAATGTATTCGTATTTTATTCTTTTTGATGTTATTATAAATAGAATCACTTTCTTAATTTTAACTTCAGATTATCCATTACAAATGTATATAAATACAACTGATTTTTGTATGTTGAACTAGCATTCTGCAACTTTGCTGGACTCATCTATGAGTCCTAGTAGTTTTATTTTTAGTGGTTTTCTTGGGAATTTTTGTATAAAAGATGATGTCATCTGCAACTAGGGATGATTTTACTCCTTTCTTTCTAATCTGGCTACCTTTCATCTCTTTTCTTGCCTAATTGCCCTGGCTGGAACCGCCAGCACAATATTGACTAAAATGGCATAGTATTTTAAAATCAAGAAATTTCACACACACACAAAAATAGCCTGAGTATATTATTTTGAAAAAACAGGAAATCTGGAAAATACTGGGCTTAACATGAGCTGGGTAGTGGTTGCTCCATTTAGGTGGGACATGTGCTCTCCACCTGACCAATTCCCCACTATTCTCTATGGCATAATACTTTGTCAGCTTCACTAACCTGTTCACTAATTCTGTAGACATTGAGTTTACTAATTTTTCATTATAGAGATTAATAATAGTACCATATTCATATTAAATATTTTGCATGTATTTATTAACTGATGCATAGGATGACTGCCACAAATGAATGAACAACTGGACAAACAAATTTTTACCTCAGATCTTAAGAAGTCCTATTTCTCCTAACCTCAGTCTCCTAAGTAACAGGATCCCACTGTAACTCCATATTTCTCATTCTACCATCCATCGCTTATCAGATTGATAGATTAGTGCCAGTCTGTTACAACAATTTTCATTAATATCTTCTTTTTTTGTATTTATTAGCAAACTTATTGAAACAATATCTCTTTTTTAATATATTTCCTTTTATATTCAAATAGAAACAGCAGAATGAAGTGGTTTGTGGCTGAAACAACCTTCCTGGGAAGAACACTGGAGTGCTCATCTATCAAAAAACAAACTCCAATGTCTGAGCCCCATCTCCCCCTAGACAAAGTAAAGAACAGATTAAAGGGGAAGAGGAAGGGCACAATCAGAACAGAGGTGGTGGAGGCTGGCAGATTTCCAGTAAAGTACAATGTTCAAAGTTGCTGCAATTATGGAGTAGAATAGTACTCAACTTTAAAGCAATCACAAGCAGGAGTTTCCCCTCCAGCCCTCACCCTGATTTGCGTTCATAAAAATACATTTTTCTCTCTCCTCAGTAAGTGATGTATCAGGACTGGGTACCAATCTATTTTACCACAGCAAAGGGGACTCTTTTTATTCATTCAGGTTTCTGGGACCAGAGTCAAGATTCTAGAGAAAGGGGAAAATCTCTATGGTTTTAAGGGATGTTTGTTTATATGCTAACTCGCTACCTGCTGAAATTCATTTTAA
Organism: Homo sapiens; assembly: GCF_000001405.40. Lineage (NCBI taxonomy): Eukaryota > Metazoa > Chordata > Mammalia > Primates > Hominidae > Homo > Homo sapiens. The sequence goes on along the minus strand of NC_000003.12, from coordinate 88,231,534 downwards.
ACTCCTTCATGTAGCTATGGGTTAGGTAAAATTTGCACAGAAATGTCACAAGTGGCCTCGCAACCCCCACCCGAGGAAATGGTGAGTCAAGACTTAAGCACTCTCAACACACATAAAAAACCCTTTGTTCTTGGTGGGAATGAGTGAAGTCACCTGGCTAGGAGGGTGAAATGGTGAGAAGCACAAGTAGAACTCACTGCAGGAAAAGGGCTGAGGCAAGGCGGACCAAGGTACACACTCTGAAAACTTTACCTGCTAGAACAGTCAGCATGTTATCCTAAACAAGAAAAGAAAATCACCAAAGTGTGAAACTTAATTTATGAACAGAAAAAGACCAAGGCTTGGGCAATTAAAACAATCCAGCCTCCCTTTCTTTTTTAATTTGTTTCATGTATTTTTAAGGTAATTTTCTTTTCTTTTGGAAAAAGAAATACATTTTGCCACCTAACCTAAGCAAATGGAGTTGCCATTGCCCAATTTATCTCTATAGTTTTGCTAAGAGGTGAAAAAACAAAAGTAGAAATGGACTCCTAATAGGAAGTCCATTAGCGGGTGGGGAGGAGCTGGGGAATGCCCCAGCTACTAGGACAGCCCGAGTGAATCTAGGGGACCAGGCCCTTGACTGTCTCAGGGCAAATCCTGCTCTACCTCTTCTTCTATGGTCACCGCCCCCTGTAGACTGAGAAGGGGGCATGATGTAAGTAGAGCGTCTCAGAGAAATCCAGTGGAGCAGGTCTCAGCGCTGGCTTTCCCAGGCTTTCCGACTTTGGGCCTGAGTGGTGGTTTCCAGGCCAAGTCCCAGATCTCACCTGTAGCCAGCACCCTCTGGGAGATGAAAAGAGGCCAATCCTTTCCTCAACATCTGTTCCTCCACAGTTACGGCTGGTGAGAGAGGAATGAGCTGGAGGAAATGGCGTGAAAAATGGGACTGCACGTTAAGGAAGGCAGAAAGGGGGGACCTACTGGCCAGCCCTCCCAATCCAACTGATGAGAGTGGGGAATCCTGTCAGGACTGCCTAGTGTCTAAGGACAACCTTTTGTGGCACAAGCCTTAACTCTCTTCTGCTGGCTGGGACTCATCCTTATGCACCAGTCCCTGCCCTGGATTCCAATGTTATTTCAAGGATATAGGTGGTTAATTAATACTCATAGCAACTATCGCTTGTGGTTGCTCAAAACCCATGCCGCTAAGGAGCTTGGTGCTATCATTTAAAAAAAATTATTTTCTTTTGTCTTATCTGTTTGGATTGAACAGAAATGGTACCATCAGACTGTGCCCCAAGGAGGTGCACAGAGCCTCCTAATCAGGATTGGGGATATCATCCTCACCCGCTAAGTCCACCCTCAGTCATGAGGCCCCCTCCCTGTCTTGTTCCCCAATAGAGAAGCCTTATATAGTCAAAGGAAAGAACCTGAAGTTTTCAGCTGTTGTTATTCTAAGTCTAAATACAAGAGAAATGTTCTGTATCTAAATCATTGAGCTATTCGGAGGGGAAATAGTTTTATGTCTCCTGGCATTGATGAAGATTTTTCTTCAATCTTCCTGCAATTACTGGGTCAGGCTGTGCTGTTTTCCTTCTACCAGTTTTCAACAAACAGGCAAAAACTGTTCTGTGGTTTGAATGGCAAAGCCACTAAGATCTCCTCATAAACACTTCAGGGGAAGAAAGGAGGAGATCCTCCATCCCTCGATAAACAGAAAGAAGAAAGAGTTGACTACAGCATCAGTTTCTCTAGTGCAGCAAGAAGGTTCACATGGTCCCTCTGGAGCTCTGTGAGATAGATTCAGAGCACTGCTGGTTCCCAGTTTGGCTGATGGTAATGTCAGGAAGGGGAGGAGGAGAGGACAGCCTAAGATCTAACGGATGCCCCTTATCATTTTTATCTGAGTAGAATCTTTCTGGTTTAACTACAAATGGATACTGTTTTCTTAAATAAGCTACCATGGCAATCCTCACATTGTCTCTACTGTCCAGTTATCCAAACATGTGTTTGAAATTATCATTTCATTCCTCAGGGATAGGACAAATTTTTCACTATAGATTAGATACTTAAAACACATTTGTCTTACCTGAGTCACATCTTTATGGAAACTTTCCCAAGATAGAATCAATCTGTGAGAATCCATGACTGGCATTTATCATAGTTATTAAGGATAATGAAATCCAAAGCAATATGAGTTCATCTACTATACCAGCCTCAAGGGCTTCGTTTCATATCTGAAGGTCCACGTTGTGAATACTGCTTTTAGCTGAGACCCAGTTACTATCAGTCAGAAATTCAGGTTCAAGGAAGTCAGTTTAGTCTATTTCAAAGCCATTTCAATTTCACTTGGTCAGTTTCTACTTCATTTAAAATAAATTTCTTCAAAAACATTTAACTTTAAATCTTTAAAGATTTTACTTTCAAGAAATAAAATTATCAGTGCTATATTTAATAAAATTATTGTCATTCTAAAATATTTAAAAATTATATTGCATTCTTTAGGCAGAATCCTATAAAGGAATGGAAACCCAAAATCTGAGCCAAGCCAATATTAAATATACCCTAAAGTGGGATTTCTCAACAGTGCTACTATTGACATTTGGGGCCAGACAACTCTTTGTTGTGAGGGACTATTCTGCGCGGGCTGAGAGTATTGTGGAAAATGGGGCTGGAAACTTAGAAATTAAAAAAAAGTCAAGACTTAAAAAAAAAAAAGTATTACTCTGGCAAGAGTGTAAAGAGTGGATTGTAGAAAAACAAATTTTTTCTGTAATGACCATGTTACTCACCTTCCTAAAGAGAGTCCACATAAAGAATCTTACAGCAGATGCATCAGAATTTCAACAGCATCTAAATAGATATAATTTCTCATTTACATATGAAAGAGGTCACTGCACAAAACCAGATCTAATGCCAAGAGCTAAGTGTAAGGGTGGTGCTAATCAAGAAGATGATGAAGATGATAACAGATGAAGATGATAACAGATAACATTTATTTGGAACTCTTACTATATGCTAGTCATTAATTCTAAGTCTTACTTAGAATTTACTACTTTGTTACTCTCAGCACTCCCAATTCATCTCACACCTTATATGGCAGATTTCAAAAAGCCCATAAATTCCACCCATCCTGGAATGTATGCTCCTTGGCAATGTGAATTTCCACTCCTCCTATCGGGGTGGAGTCTATCTCTCCACGCATTCACTCTGGGTTTGATCATGGACTTTGTTTTAGTCGAGGACACAGCAAACATGAGACGAGCAGAAGGTTGAAAATGGACTTGCCCTCTTTTGCTGCCTGATATCACCATGTGAAGAAGCCTGGGCTAACCTGTTGGATGGTGAGAGGCATATGCCATCACCACAGATTACATCTGGCCACTCGGCAGACACGAGAGTGAGGGGTCCCTAGACCACGGCTTACCAACCACCAGACTATAAATGAAACCATCCTAAATCATCCATCTAAGTCAAATATCTCCAGAGCAGAAGAAGCTCCTAGCCAAAGCATAGAGTTATGAGAAATAATAAATGTTTATTAAGACATTAAGTTTGGGTTAGTTTGTTATAGTGCAGAAGATTACCAATTAGCCTCACTGGAATTCAAGGGTATGGGTATTGTAACATTATTAATGCTATTTTAGGGAAAAGTTGAGGCATGCAAAGTTAAAGTAACTTGCCCATGGTTATCGAGCTAATGAATGATTTAAACTCAGGATTTGAACCCAGGCTCCAGATTAATGCATAATTTTTAGTGTTTGGTCTGCTTAGCTAGAAGAATGTGTGTAGTGTTTTCTCAATTAAGGAAACTAAGATTCTGCTATTACTGTAAAAGAAAATGGGAGTAGGGAAGACATACAAGAATAAGAAATCCTGGGAAAAAAATATCTCACTAGGTTGTCACCAAGGAATATATAAGTTAAAGAGAAGAATGACAACTGTATTGCAGTGATTGTCAAAACCAGTAACTCACAGCCCATCCATCAACTACAAGATTCAGTAGTCTTTAGGGGCTTCTAGGTGGTCCACTTGCCCATCCATGGAACTATTATCATGTATGATATTACAATCTGGCATGGATGTACTTATGATATACCTCCATGAAATGTTATCAAAATACCTCCTAGTTCGTTATATTTCCTCTTTCTTTCTTTCTTATTTGGTGGAAGCAAGTGAGAGGGATTTATTACCATGCAACTATCCCTAGGCCCAAAATGTTTGAGACCCACAGCAACCAAACATATAGTCATCCCCAAAAATCCCAACCTGCTGGAACAGGAAGCAAGAAATGTCACAATAATTAAAAAGATAGCAATGGGAATGTTATAAAGCATAGGCACCAAATAGAATGCAGAGTTATACTGTAAAGGTAAAAAGGAGCAAATTTTGATTTATTGAGCTGTAATTCCATTGAGGGTTTCTGGTGACTCCAGCTTCGTACTTGTGGTTATAGTATTCCCAGAACCCCTCAATGGAGTGATTTCCTGAAATGCACAGCTGCCTCTTATTTATTTTATTAACTTTACATAAAAACCATGGGAGCACAGCTTTTACGGTATTTGACTATGATTGGCCTTGTCTTTTCAAGTTTGGGATGGAAGGCGAAGAAAACATAAAATGCAATGAGAATATCATTTAAAAGCTAAAACTTTCAAAGGAAGGATAAGTAAAAAGACTTTTTGCTTGGGGTTGTGATTTAGCAATGAAATTCCCTTAGACTAATATATGATAATTGATTATATTGCAAAACAGATCAAAATCCAGATTTTATACCATGAAGGACAGTTGTGCACTATGCAAACACCTAGTCTAAAAGACAGGGAAATTGCTGAATTTCATGGTTATAACCTCACTAATAAGGAATAAGGTAATTTAATTTGTTATAGAATATATTATGACCCATTCTTAATTTTGTTCAAGTGTCTAGATTACATCTAAAAAGATCCTTTGAAGTTATCATCATTATTCAAAACATGATTGCAAAGACTATTGTCTTTAAAGTATGAATAGACTCGTAGAGTCTTATTTCATATTCTAGTGCTATAATAGGACTAGAATGGAAAAAGCGTCCGCTGAGAAGAAAAAATTAAGTTAAAAGTATATACCTCTTTTCTAAACTAGTGACACTTTTTTAGTTTTGGGATAAATATACATCTTTTAATTGATACTAGAGGCTGAGAAGGATGGGTGGGTGGGAGAGGGGGATGAAGAGAGGTAGGTTAACTGGTAAGAACACACAGTTAGATAAAAGGTGTAAGTCCTATTGTTCAGCAGAGCAGACTGACTTTAGTTAACAACAATGTATTGTATATTTCAAAGTAGCTAGAAGAGAGGATTTGAACTGTATATAACACATAGAAATGATAAATACTCAAAGTGGTGGATACTTCAAATATTCTGACTTGATCATTACACATTGTATGCATGTAACAAAATATCACATGTACCCCATAAATATGTACAGTATTATGTATCAATAAAAAAAAATTCCTAAAGAAACTCTCTTGCATGAATGCTTTAACCATTCAATATGATCACAAAATGGTAAGCGCAAGTAAACCATGAAATAATGTTAATGCCAAAACATTCTCTTACTCAGCTGAACAAGGGTATGATCAGAAATTCCTCAGGAAGTCCAACATATGGAGTTTATAGCTCTTCAATTATGTCAACATTTATTAGTTACATAGAAATCACAAATCTTCTTTAAGGAAGTGAGCCCAGATGCCTGCAATTAATATTTCTCAGCCCTGCAGAAGATATCATAACTTAATTCCCAATGTCTTTACTTTCAGGGGCTAAAAACTCACAAATTATGTCATTAGAAACAGCAATGGCTAACCAGAGGTTTGTTGTAATGTATTTTCGTTAGCTGAAGCTAATTGGAGCCAAATGAGTAGAACAATGTTGTAAGGGCACTCAGAGAAATCCTAGGTCTTTAGGAACTGAAATGAATGAGGGTAATCAGCAGTGTATGCAGAATACACTGCATTCAATTACTATGAATAGGATGGCAGTCAGCTGCAAAGTGCCACACATCATGATGAGTTTTGCGGAACAGCAGATGTCGTATAACATTGTATAAATACAAACAACACGCCAGACTGAACCAGGTCAAATAACAGGGAAGCAAGGAACAAGGACCTCAAACGGGGGGCCTTTGTAAAATTTTTCTGGTGCAGTTTTACTGCGCATGGTCTGATCGAGAGTGTCAATTTGTGTGTGTGTTGAGTAGTAGGAGATGCGCTGCCCAGAACTTCCCTTTTCGATGCCTAAAAACGTAGCTGAACAAGATAAAGCTACTACCGCATTTCAAACACGGCAGCAATTATTGTCACCCATACACACGTATAATAAGCATAAGAATTATTTTAACCTTGTATGTGATTTTTCACAATAAATTTTTATCTAAAATATAACAACTGCTGGCAGGGCGCGTTGGCTCATGCCTGTAATCCCAGCACTTTGGGAGGCCGAGGTGGGCAGATCACTTGAGTCTAGGAGTTCAAGACCAGCCTGGCCAACATGGTGAAACCCCGTCTCTACTAAAAATACAAAAATTAGCCCGGTGTGGTGGCACGTGCCTGTAATCCCAGCTTACACAGGAGGATGAGGCACTAGAATCCCTTGAACCAGGAAGGTGGAGATTGCAGTGAGCTAAGTTCACACCACTGCACGCCAGCCTGGGCAACAAAGAGAGACTCTGTCTCAAAAATAAATAAATAAGTAAAAATAAATAAAATATAACAACTGCTGAGAAGAATGTCTTGGTATATTGACATTCCGTTCTTAAGGTGTAAAGTCTGCAGCTTGACTTTTGTTAGCATGCTGTCTTCAGGATGACACTCTGAATAAAGGACATTTTTTGATGAGTTCTTCTTTCAAAATGAAGGAACATAAAACTCATAATTTGAAGCTATTTTGAGTACCGCATGTCTATGTTTCTTATGCTTATATTAGAATAATAACTTTTCATTCTACTTTAAATATTCTGATTTAAAGATGCCAGCCCTATTGTCATGAAGCATGTATATGTGAGGTATGCTTGTTTTCCAACAGCCACTGAAATAAAACAATGGAATTTCGAACAAGTTTCTATTGTAGTCATAAATGTCATTGTATAGTGAGAATCCTGGATTCGCCACCAACTCTGTGACTTCTTATGCTGACATGATTGAGTGTCCAGCCTCTCTGGGTTTCAGTTTACTCCCCTTAAGATGAGGACTGGTTTGGATAACCTCTAAGGTTTTTCCAGCTCTCAGGGTCTGTGTAAACTGAGAACCAGTCGAGCCATATGAAACCACTAATAATTCAGGCAGAATGGCCTTTTTTATTGTAAATCTACATAGCTAAGAATATTTCTGAGGCTTCTGAAATTCTAATCACGAGTCATTATAGGTAGTGATGTAGGAGTCACAGAGCAAGCCAAATTACATACAATTATTGTTTAAAAAATACAAAACACAGGCAAGAGAAAGAGGAAAATATAAACCATCCATAATCTTAGCTTCCAAATGTCAATATTCTTAAGATTTTAGTGAGTAAAAGAACGAGGAGGTAGAAGAGTGCTTGAGAAGATGGTGGAGAGAAGAGACAGACAGAGTGGGTGATGAAGCTAATAAACAATACAGCCAGCAGAGATGCGGCTGTATATACTGTATATATAGATGTAAATGATGTAAGATGGTATAGATACAGCATATTATTCTCATTTTTTAACTTTATTTAGTACTTAAAAATAAATATTTTCTAAGGTTAAATTTTTTAGAAGCATCATGATTAAGGACGGCTATACATAAAAGTTCTATATATGCTATAGATATATGTATTCTATATATGTGTATATCTAGATACATATTTATCGATTTTTTTAAATTGTATAGTAAATATCCTAAAGCTAAATGTTTATATGCATCCATAATTTTAGGTTAAATTCCTATACACAAAAAATCATACGGGAATGCTATGCAACAGTTTATGACTTCTGCTCACAATTGACAAGTCAAGAATAAATTAATACTTTGTTAAAGACCTGAGCCACAATTAGGATAAAGTTATGTTGTCGCTAATACAAAGGGAAGGCAGAAGTGAGGAAGCCTCTTGTCCTATCTTGACCTTCATGGTTTCACAATTAGAATTCTGTCTCCTGAAGAGAGATTCAGGTTGGTCCTGCTGAGATGTGAGAAGTCAGGATTATTTGTGAAGTGTCCTGATATAAGGTGACAGAAGCTGTCCTCATTTAATTCATCACCATTCAGTTCTGGATGGAAGGGAGGCAGGAGAAGGAGCACATCAGAGGCCAATCTTCAATATTGCTTTCAGGAGTTCTTCATTTCCGTCCAAAGAAGAAAGCAAAAAAGATAACAGAAGCAAGAACTCTGCAAGAGCGTAGACAGGCCTTTCAATAAATTCACAAAAGAAAGCTACACTCTCGATTTTTAATTTTCAGCCTCTTTGCCCCAATTGTAAAATAAATAACTTATCCAAGCCACCTCTTGAGTTCAGTGTTTCATCTTTGAAGGCTTCTATGAGTTTCAAAGAAGTACATTCACAGACTTTATTTTTCTGATTATTAAAAGTGAAATATCAAGACTTTTCTGATCAGAAGGTCATCTGTTATGATGATTTTGCACTACATTTTTGGGCACACAAATGTTGAGGACACTCCCCTGGGGTGGCTTCTTGAAGAGTTTCAGATTCTGGGATTCGCAATCCCATCTTGATGGCTTCTTCCTCTCACAGTCCACTAAATACTCAGGATCTTACCCTTCATTTTCTTAGACTAGCAGGTGTCCTTAAGCATTGCAAGGGAGGAGCACTGCAGGTGAAAAAAAAAAAGCAGCCCTATTTTTTTCTCCTTTTCTCCTGCTCCTCTAACTAAGTCCTGAATTTTATTTTTTTCGAGGCAAACACCAGTTAACTTTCTACATTCAAGGAGTCTGAACCTCCCTTTCCTGTGAGTAAGGCATTGATGAACTTTAAGAGCAGCCTAACTGCCTAGGTAGCTCCATAGAAAGCATGCATGTCATCATTCTCTAGAATATGTATGCAAGATGGAAGTATATTTATGCAGGCCACCAGGTCTGTCTGGGAAGGGATTCAGGGACATCTGTTCCCTTAGTGCCCAGAATAAAAGCAGTGGTTTTTGTTTTTGTTTTTGTTTTTGTTTTTGTTTTTGTTTTGAGACGGAGTCTTGCTCTGTCACCCAGGCTGGAGTGCAGTGGCGCGATCTCAGCTCACTGCAAGCTCCGCCTCCTGGGTTCGAGCGATTCTCCTGCCTCAGCCTCCTGAGTAGCTGGGATTACAGGCACGTGCCACCATGCCCCCGCTAATTTTTGTATTTTCAGTAGAGACGGGGTTTCACTTTAAGGAGTGTGGAGTGAGCTGCTCTGTGAAGAAGAGGAAGGAAGGAAGGAAGGAAGGAAGGAAGGAAGGAAGGAAGGAAGGAAGGAAGGAAGGAAGGAAGGGAGGGAGGGAGGGAGGGAGGGAGGGAGGGAGGGGCTCATGGATAAGATTCTGGCATTAAGAGACAGGAGAAGCAATAATCAGATGCACTATCCTAAGCAGGGGAGGGGGCTTAAGGAGGATGACTGAGTAGAGTGAAATGGGAAGAATTATTTTAAGACCTTTGTTCTTCCAACAAAGAATTTGCAGTCACCAGCTCCAACAGGGAGGGACTGGTGATACTTAGAGTGCTGGAAATGTTTCTGGAGGAAGCCTCAGGAAGTCACAGAAAGCAAAGGAAACTGCAGTAACTACATACTGTAAACAAGGAGCAAAGTAGCCATGCCATGACAATATGATGAGCAGACGACACCTGTAAAAGCCATATGGCAGATTTCTTCTCTGTAGCCCACTCCACTGTGGAAAGATTTTATTTTAATCAAGGATGTAAATTATAAGTACTCATCATGGGACACAGGTGGTGTGAGACAATAGGCCTTGGAGTGCTGTATTTCTCTTTTTATTAACTTGTGTGTGTATAGTATTCATTCTAAGCAGAGCCTTATATTGAAGCATTATACCCAGTTGTGTGAAAGTAGAGAAGTTAGAAAGTGAGGGAAGTGTCTGTTTCCTGGAAGAGAGGCCATTCCAGGTTTCTGAGGAAGAATTGACATGTAACATGTTTTATCCTCCAAAGAAATAACTCACAGGGCTTTCCTGTCAATGGCTTTTTTTTTTTTTGGCCATAAAAACTAGTAGAAATTCAACATAATCAGAAAGGAGGCTGGGCACAGTGGCTCACATCTGTAATCCTAGAACTTCAAGAGGCTGATGCGGGTGGATCACCTGAGGTCAGGAGTTTGAGACCAACCTGGCCAACGTGGCAAAATCCTGTCTCTATTAAAAGTTCAAAAATTAAATAATTAGCAGGGCATGGTGGTGGCACCCATAATCCCAGCTACTTGGGAGAGTGAGGCAGGAGAATCGCTTGAACCTGGGGGGTGGAGGTTTCAGTGAGCCAAGATGGCGCCAATTCACTCCAGCCTGGGTGACAGAGCAAAACTCTGTCACACACACAAAAAAAAAAAGAAAAGAAAAAGAAAACTAACCTGAAAGAATAAAAGAAATGCTGATGTAACTTTGTGATATGAGGAACTTGAATATTTGTGACAATGAAAGGAAACTAGAGCTCTTCTGGAATTTGTTAAGCAAGATGGGTAATATAATCTAATGAATGAAAAGGGTAACAACTGATGTTCTCACCAGGCTTGCCAAGAGACAATGTGACTGCTTTAAAGAAAGTAAGATTGGGCCAGGCACAGTGGCTCACGCCTGTAATCCCAGCACTTTGGGAGGCCGAGGCGGGAGGATCACGAAGTCAGGGGTTCAAGACCACCCTGGCCAAGATGATGAAACCCTGTCTCTACTAAAAATACAAAAATTAGCTGAGCATGGTGGCAGTCACCCGTACTCCCAGCTACTCAGGAGGCTGCAGCAGGAGAATCACTTGAACCTGGGAGGTGGAGGTTACAATGAGCTGAGACTGCACCACTGCACTCCAGCCTGGGTGACAGAGCGAGACTCCATCTCAAAAAAAAGAAAGTAAGACTAATGATGACTTTAAACAAGGGAATATTTTACATTTTTGTTGGAGTGCTTTGTCCTGCAAGTAAGTGAAATCACAACCCCAAGTAGCCTAAATATAAGGGTATGTGCTTCTCCCCACCCTCACCCCTCACAACCTCATTTGAGGACCACAGCAGGGTTGGTCAAATCAAGGGCATGATGATGTCATCAAAAATCCAGTTTCTGACCGAGCGCAGTGGCTCACACCCATAATCCCAGCACTTTGGGTGGCCAAAATGGGCGGATCACTTGAGCCCAGACGTTTGAGACCAGCCTAGGCAACATAGCAAGACCCTCATATCTACTTAAAATTAAAAAAAGAAATCCAGGTTCTTTCCTTGGCTTTTCCCATTGGCTAAAAATGAACCCTGTAGTTCTGGGGGTTACATGTATGGTATTAACATTCAGAGTCAGAAAAGGGAAGACTCATTCATTCACTGCTTTTTATGACTAAAGAGCTGTTTCCCAGGAACCCCCTGTAGCAATCTGAATCTAATCAGGAGATAGAAATCACACAGTAGGTTAAATATAGAAAGTTTAAAATAAAAATTATTAGCTATAATAAAAGTGACTTTAAGACATGGACAATCTGAGGAATCCAGGCCTTGTTGGAAAAGGTGTGCTTCAGCCACTGGATAGCAAGAAAGTTAGCTAGTTTAGCCAGACCTGCACTGATCTAGAGTTGCTAGGCAAACAGGCAGCCCCAACCCCACCCCCACCCACCCAGTGGAGGGCAAAGACCTTCAGCAGCCCCAACCCCACCCCCACCCACCCAGTGGAGGGCAAAGACCTTCAGAGCTTGTGGGCTGGTGGGAATGGGCTTGCACAGGGGGCTACCCCTTGGGTCCCAGGCAGCTGCATGCAGACCAGCCAGCTCATCTCCAGGCCAAGACGACAAGGTCACAGAGAAATCGTGTTCTGAACCTGTGGCTCAGGCAGGTTCCACTCCAAGTACCCACAACCACACAGTCGCTCCTCAGCTCAGGCTGCAATTGCATGAAGCCTCTGCCTCCTACGATGTTTCTCCAGCGCCCTCTACTGAGAATGCTTAGTGTCATACTTACTTTAAAGAGAAAATCTTAAAGGAATTCTGTTATTGATCATAGAGCATGTATCGAAGGATGCATTCAGAGCTGAGGCAATAAATTAAGAGCTGACACATCCCCAGATGACTTTTCCTTCTATCTCATTGGCCAGAACACATGACATGCACATGCTTAAACCAATAACTGGGTGAACTGAATCACCATTACTTAAGACACATCCCCCAGGGCTGAAAAGGAGGAGCTCTCTTTCAGAAGCACATGGCCCACGATGACATTCAGGGCTCTGTCCTTAGGAGGAAGCCTGAGAACGACACGGGTCCACAGCTGAGAGTGTGTGCCACCATGCACCTTCTGTTCGAATGGTTTTGGATACCACAGTCAGAAAATGAATGGCAGAAACCCAGAGGCCATTGTATCCTAAAAATAAGAAAATGATGCCTGAAGCATCACTATAGCAAAAGTATCTGAAAACAGATGATACCTGAAAATAGAACCTTACAATACTTAAGTAACTGAGGTTAGTCAGAAGACTATGTAACATTTTCATGCTGTGAAAATTATCACTGTCTGGAAACTAAAGTTTTCTTATAAGAAGCAAGAATATTAATCTGCTTCATTTGAAAATAGAGTAGGAGAAAAATTCAAGTACCCATCAATAAAAATGTCTAATCCTCACTTACAGAAGCCTTCAGAAACTATTTTGTCCGCTAACTAGGATCACCATCCTAGTCCCTTGTTACAACCTGACTTTTCCTTTTATTATTTACTAATCTCCCTCTTCTTTTGCACCTCTACGCTTACTCCCCCAGCACAGACGCCTATATGCCTGTCTTTTATGGCCTCATCTTCCCCTTCTTTGTCCTGCTTCCTCCACATGATAAATTCACATGTGCCTACATACACATATACAATGATACTTTCTTTCCTATTCAAAGGGAGTTACAGCAAAGATATGCTTGATGGTGAGAGTGTTGCTGATCACACCTGCTTTATCCAAAATGTAATCTAATGAACGTATTAGTCCATTCTCACGCTGATAATAAAGACATACCACAGACTTGGTAATTTCTAGAGAAAAGAGGTTTAATTGACTCACAGTTCAGCATGGCTGGGGAAATCTCAGGAAACTTACAATCATGGCGGAAGGGGAAGAAAACACGTCCTTCTTCACATGGTAACAGCAAGGAGAAGTGCAGAACAAAAGGAGGGAAAACCCCTTATAAAACCATCAGATCTCAGGAGAACTCACTCATTATCACAAGAACAGTATGAGGGTAACCACCCCCATGATTCAATTACCTCCTACTGGGTCCCTCCCATGACACGTGAGGATTATGGGAACCAGAATTCACGATGAGATTGGGTTGGGGACACCACCAAATCATATCAATAAATGTGTAGAAAAAGAGACATTTTATTCTTTATACAATTCCATTTTTAAGATATTTTTATTTCACATACTATCCTTTCACTAGGATAAAGTCAATTTGACATAAAAAATACTGCAAGTTGCTTTTCCTGCTATGGAATTATCTCTTGCCACCTCTATCAGTAGTCACCTTTAACACATAATGCTTCTCCAGATGGGAATAATCCATTTAGAGAAAGTTACAAGAATTCACCACTGAGAGTCATATTTCTGGGTAACACATAACAAAGCTTTGGTAGCAGTCCAGTGTCATTTCCTTGAAGGTTGATGTGGGATAATGTTGCTGAGGAGTATTTGAAAGCTGCCAAGAACTTCCTGAAGAACAGTATAGTGCCTGTATTTCAGTGATTATGCCACTTTGGGAGAAAGGGGAGGTTGTACTTATCACAAATTTGACTGTGAATATTGAGTTGTATGTATGTAAGACTGCGAAGCTTAACAATTAAATTGTATTTGGACGTGTGACCTAACATTCAGGCCTTATGTAGCATAGCCAAAATGTATAGGAAGCTCTAAGTAAAATGAGACTAAAAGATTTTACGTTGGAGGAGATTTTATGTTGGAGACTAAAAGATTTTATGTTGGAGCATATCTTAAATACATTTTGGAACTGACTTAGGCTCAGTTGATCAATCATTTCAGCACAGGAGGGAGTACAGATAAGACCTGGGCTGAGATACAAAAGAGGAAGCTTCTTTGACTTCGTCTTTCTGAGCAACCATCTCCTTTTCCTTAACCTATCACTGTTACACTTAGCCTGGGAAGTGCCCCCAGTTCCAAAGTTTTCCTTCACTTTCCTTCAATCTTGCTACTCAAGGACTTCCATCAACTATACTTTTTCTCATCCAGATGCTGAGAAAAAAGGACTCAAACAACATGCATGTGTTGGGGAAGGAGCGGGTGCTAGGACTGTCATCTAGCAAGACCAGAAGCTGCGGAGCCCAAGTACCTGGATTCAAATCCCTGTTTGATCAGGCATTAGCTGTACAACTTTGACAATATTATTTAACTTCTTAGTTCTTCCATTTATTCTTCTGTAAAATCTGGATTAAAATAATACCTTCCTGGTATGGTTGTTCTTAGGTTAAATGATTTGATACACATCAAGCCTTTAGAATAATTCTTGGAACAAAGTAAGTATAGATCAAGTCAATATCAAACGTTTTGCAAAATTTGGGTATATAGAAGTTGCTTTAAAAATACAGAAACTTTCAATAATTTGAGTGTAAATAATTTAAGAATATAAAAATTTTCACCAATTTTGACTAGTAGGACAAATGACCAATTAAATGATTGGAATGCTGAATTACACATTCATCTTAAGAAAATTTCATTTTATATATATGTCCAATTTAAGCATGTGCTCCATTTAATAAATCAAATAAATTGAATTTTTGTGAATCATACTATTAAATTAAATAAATATTTGTTGAACAGCTACTATGTGTAAGGTTTTTCCAGTTATTTATCATTGTGGAAAAAACCCTCCTCAACATTTAATGACATAAAACAACAACTATTTTATTATGTTCATCATACTGTAGATCAGGAATTTGAGCAGAGCACAGTGGTAATGATTTTTCTCTGCTCCATAATAATGGATGTTTCAGCAGAGTCAAGATGGTTGGTATAGCTCAACTGGGGCCATATGTCTGGAGCCTCATTTGGCCTGGTGAGCTGAGTTTGTCAGTTCTTCACATCACTTCTGCTGAGGCTGCGATCACAATGACTTCTCCATTCAAGACCTGTTGCCTGCACTAGGATGGCTGGAACAGATGGAGCTATCCAGGTACCTCTCTCTATGTAGCCTCTTCATGTGTCTAGCCCAGGCTTCCTCAGAACATAATCTCAGTTCTCAGACTTTTTACATGGTGGTTCATGGCTCCAAGAGCAAAAACTCCAAGAAGTCCAGGTGGATGCTGCAAAGTTTTTAATGACTTATCCTCTGAAGCCAAGAAACATCATTTTGCCACATTCTATTGGTCAGCAAGTCACTAAGGCCAGCCCAAAATCTAGGGGAGGATAACTAAAAGAATTCTTCTCAAAGGGAGAAAAAGCAAATAATTTGGGTCCTTTAATGTACTTCTAAAATCATTGACTATATATTCCTTCTGAGGTACTGCCCTTGAGAGTCAAGTTTCTCGAAAGAATTGTTTACACAGGCTGTCTCCACTCACTTCTTAATGGCCTTTAATCTGGCTTTAGCTCTTATTATTCCATTAAAACTATTCTTGCAAAGCCACTAATGACCTCCACATTAGCAAATATAATGAAAAATGTTCAGTATCCTTTTTCTTAATTCCTTCAGAGTTTTCGACACAGTTAAACACTTTTTAAAAATACTCTCAGACCAGGCGCAGTGGCTCACACCTGTAATCCCACCTGACGCCCACCTGAGGTCAGGAGTTTGAGACCAGCTTGGGCAACATGGTGAAACCCTGTCTCTACTAAAAATACAAAAATTAGGTGGGGGTTGCAGTGAGCCAAGATAGCGCCACTGCACTCCAGCGATGGAGTGACACTCCTTCTAAAAAAAAAAAAAAAAAAGAACTCCCTCTCTTAGGGCTTTTTGACAACATACTCCAATTCCCTGGTCTCTCTGGCTGTTTCTTTTGGTTTTCTTTACTTCCTTGCTTTCTTCTACCTGTGTGCCTCTTCCTCATCACCACCACCATCTATTATTATCATCTCCTGCACAGTGCCTGGTACATAGTTGATGCTCAATAAGTATTTAGTGATTGAACAAATGAATGATGAAAGCTTAACATTGCTTTAGAGAAAGGTGATATATTTCTATGTGATGTTCTATATTTTATAAACATACATGCTAGATATATTTTAAAAGATAAGCTAGTAGTAAATGAAAGAACTAAGGAAAAATTATTACTTTTATATTAAACTAAATATTTTCCTTGCCTCAATGCCTATTATTTTTTAATGTGAAATCTCCATTATTTCTCCACAACTCCAGTTAATTCCAGTTAGTTAAGTTGAATATTTATAAATTATGAACTAATGACACTCTGATTAATGAGTTTTTTTGTACTCAGCTTATTCTAAACTAGAAGTAAATTATACATGCTGATAAATCATTAAATTTGACTCATATAAGCATTTTTAAATGAGATAATTGAATAAAATTTCTCCTGAATAAGAGTATGTTTATGGTATTATATTTTAACTGTGAAATTAAAAGAAAAAAGTTGTCTTTTTAAGGATAAAAGGGGAAAAGAAGGAAAAGTTCCTCCTGACATAACTACTTTTGCCAATCTATAATATAATTTAGCTTTAATATTATATAGGAAAAGAGTCACGAATAAAAATAAGACTGAATTTGTAGTAACCAATATAATAACACTATTAAATTTTGAAAAACAAAAATTACCAATGCTTATAGAATATTTCTTAAAAATAATAAATCAAATGTCATTAAAATTAGTTTGTTTTTAAATTACAATCACATATGACACATATACGGCTCTTCCAAAAATTTATAATTTCCAAGCTTTCCCTTTTATTATCTGACCAACAAATTCTTATGAGAAAACAGAAATGGAAACTCACTCAGGTTTCGCTCAGTATATTCAAAATTCTTTTGCTAAGCAGGAACAAATAATGTTTGTGTTTAGGTTGAATCCAGAAATAGATTTACTTTCTTTTAGTAATTAAATTTCATATTTTCTCTCAGAATGGAACGTCCATTCAATTCCCAAAGAACATAATCATAGAATCAAGTCATTGTGTGTCCATTTGAATGGGTCTTATATGGAATTTTGTTAAATTATAATGGTTTATATAATTAACTTAAATCTGCTCCAGTGTTTTTTTGTAAAAAAAAAATTCCTATGGGAGTTTTTTAATAACACTCGTAAGAACATGATGTGCATGTTGGATGGGGTGGGAATCCGAGGAAGCAAGGAAATCTTAGAGAAGACCTGGTAATTTTATTAGGAAATGTTTTCTTAAGAAAGCAGTATTTTCCAATTTACTGTTTTCTTTTAAACCATGGAAAATCATGGCAATTCAAGATGTTATTCTTATGTTTCCCCTTGACAATATCTAAGAATTGATATTTTATTTCACTACAGTCTTTTGGCCAACATGTGTGCAATTTATTGGCATCATGAAAATAGTTGTATAAAATATGGGTAACTTCATTGTCTTCAAATTTACCAAAAATGTCTCCATATTCATTTTTTAAACATCACCTTAGGTAAATTTTACTGTAAATCTTTGAAAGATATTAATTCCTGCGTTATTAACTCATTTAATCAGAGCATTCTGGTCTTGGAAATAGAATTTATTTTGTTTTTTAGCAGCAATTTGTTTTTTTATCTAAGTCAACTTAAAATGAGATATGATGGTACCCACAATCCCAATAAGAAGAACAATTCCATTTTCGCTTTTTTTCCTAGGTCATGTTGTGAACCACAACCACACTGTCCAGTTGCTGATATCACACAGGTATGGTAGACAAAATTTCTAAAATCCTCTCACTAAAGATATCTCCTCCAACTCCCAGAGCTTGTGCATATAGTATTATTCCCGTGATTATGTTTACCTTAAGATAGGGAGAATATCTAGGTGGGCCTAATCTGATCGATGACATGAGCCCTGAAAAGCGGAGAGTTTTCTCCAGCTCATGGCAAAAGATGAAGTCAGAGAGGGCTGAAGCATGAGAAGGACTTCATGACATTCCATGGCTACTCTGAGAACAGAGGGAGCCCCTTAAGAAAACTACAGATGGCCTTCAGGAGAGAGGAGCAGTGGCCCACTGATGCCCAGCTGGGAAATGGGTACCTCTCTCTGACAACAGCCAGGGATTAAATTCTGCCAGTAATCGAAAATATGAGGATATGCCCATTTTTTATGAAAACACAACTAGCTGATACCTTTCATTCAGCCTTGTGAACCCAGTCACACCATGCCGTATTTATCACTTAGGGATCTATGAAATAAAAAATGGGTTTTGTTTTAAGCTGCTAAGTTTGTGGTAATTTTTTACACAGCAACAGAAAACTAATACAACCCTAGCAGCCATCAAGTCACTGAACTTACAGTTGTGACTTAGGTCTCAACAAAGTATATAAATGTATCACCTGTTGATATCCAAACCACTGACCCAGCATGCACTATAAATTACATTAGTCTTTTAAACTTCCCTTTTGATAAAAATAAACATTTTTACCATTATGTGAGAAAAAAAAATTTGAACAAAATTTCAACATTATTTTCACAACTAAACAATTTACTAAAAATATGTCTGAAGATTGAAGAAGCGTTGATTGAAACTACTTTCCTAAAAGGGGAATTCATTTCCACCCCAGACCCATATTTGGAATCATATTTTATAGTTTGATAATACTACTTGTCAGCAGCAGCATACATTCTTGTTTTAAAATGCACCCCTTCCATCCAATGTACTATTCATGATTACCTGATTACCC
This sequence comes from Homo sapiens, assembly GCF_000001405.40. NCBI lineage: Eukaryota > Metazoa > Chordata > Mammalia > Primates > Hominidae > Homo > Homo sapiens. The sequence continues at coordinate 88,212,557 of NC_000003.12, read as the reverse complement.
ACATCTGCCTGCCACACATAGGTTTTTAGCTCTCTCTCCTTACCCCTGGATTCCACTCTAACTTTCAAGGCATTGATCTTTTAAAATTTCATCAACCACAAATTAACTAGCCTACTATCCCCTCCTCCCATTTCCAAGTGATTATCTATACCCGAAGACATTACAGTTTCACAGAACTTTTCTGCTTGCCTGGTATTTCTTTGAAAACTATTTTCAATGAATCCAGTGTGTTAATATAATTTATTAAATAAAAATGGATGTGAATGGCTCATTAGCAGTAGAATTAAAAGAAATTAACAATTGATTTCATATGGAAGGTGAGTAGAGGGAAAATTTTAAAATAATGCTAAAATTTCAAGATTAGGTGCCTTGAAGAAAGAAGCATGTAACAACAACAAAATATGTAGAAGAAGAAGTCAAATCTGGAAGGAAATGATGAGTTGGTTTTGTGTACATTGAGATGTTTATTCAAATAGTAAAAAGAAAGATGTGTATCACAAGATTTCAAGTGTAACCTTGTTTTACAACTTTATACTGACTCTTCATCTCCTCTCCTGCATTTTGGATTCTTCAACCTTTGTTGTTAAATAAGTCTATATTTTTCTTTACACCTTGCAACTTACTTTCATTTGTATATAATACAACTTTTTCTAAAGTATCAATTAGCCCATACTGTCACTTAAGAAATCATCTATTATGTTTCTCTTTGTAATTCAGGGAGTAAAATCTTCTTTAGGGAATATTCTTACTAAACTTTATAGTTTGCTGTTATGACCAAGCAAGAAAATTTCACTTCCAAGTGTAACCACAAACCCAGCTACTTTCCTCTGTAAACTATTGTTCCAACATATTTCAGCCTGAAATTTTCCAGCTGTGCTCAAGGGCTTTTCACAACCACATGGAAACTATTTATTGGGACTTATTTTTAATTATAGCCTTTATTCTCCTTTGGTTCTTTAGATATTTCTGCTCTCAAGGTTACATGATGCTCCAGAGACATAACATTTGTGACACCACCACTGTATGATATTCTACAATAATGAATATCATAGGACAGATGGAAGCATTACCACAGAATTTGGATTTGTTTTTGTAGTTTATTCAAAAAGATGTCCACATTACCATTAATGTGTGTGCTTTGAATTCATCAGATGTTATTCATCCAGTTAGATGCCTATAAATACCACACAACTAGGATCCCACAAAATGTCATGCTAAGCAAGATCCATACCCTTAATGACAGAAGTGGTAAGATACATTACAGAACCTTCCAGCAGGAAAACATGGTAGAGAACACTGTGGGACTCATCTGTCTTGAGAAGCAACCTCCTAATAACTGACGTGTCTTACTGGCAAAAGCTTTCAACTGAATTCTTAAGTGAAGTCACGTTCATTTCTCATAAATGACCACAAAATAAACCAGAAAGTCCAATAAGGTAGACATAAATGTTTTCAGTGTGGTCTGAAATAATCACAATGGATATATTCATAATTCTGCCTCAGAGTATTAGAATCTCAAAAGTTTTGGTTAATTAAAAAGTAAATCCTGAATTTGTGTATTTCAAGAAGGGGTTAAACCGATCTAAGATATAATCTATCCAATAAGAACTCAAGGCCCACTGTACTTCTCACAGCCTATTTTAGAATTGACCAAGAAGATCAGTGTGATTATTAAGTTTCAATTCCCCTGATAAACGGTCCTCCAGTGACTTTTGCTTTACTTGTGTAGAGCCTTTTTAGACAAAAGGAGTCCATACACTATAGTCAATATGATTTCTTTTTTGTGAAGTGCATATGAGGAAAACTGTGGAGTAAAAGTGGTGTTTATTATTGAATATCAATTAATTTAATGTTATCTAGGCAAGATAGCTAATTACATATTATAATTCAGATAATGAATCAGAGATCGGAGATGCAAAATGACTTTCCAGTAAGGGCTGAGCAAGGCTGGAACCAAGGTGGGACTTTTTGTTTTGTTTTCATTTTAATTCGTTTTCATACTTCTTTGATTATGCAACATGGTCATCTCATAGTTTTCACGCTATCAATACAATACCTTGTTTGCAAGAAGACTATTGCCGAATTAGACAACACAAATAACTATGCTACATACAGTGATTCTCAAGTTATTCTTCCAGCACTAGCTGCAGCAGTATCACCTGGGAAGTTTTAGAAATGCACATTTTTAAAGCCCAGACAGACTTAATGAATCAAAGTCTCAAGGAGTGGGCCTTGGCAATCTGTACTTCAACACAGCCTCCAGCTGACTCTGACGCACACCTGAGCTCTAGAAAAGTAATTCTCAACATTTGATGTGCATCAGTATCAACTGTACAACTTTTTAAACTCAAACGCACTTCCCCCCCTTGCATTTATGTAATTCTCACTTGCACAAAAGGTTAAGTGGCATTACTGTAGAATACTCACAAGATCAGTGAAGTTCAGTTGTTTAACAAAAAAACTTCATGCTTGATCAATCTAATGATGCATTATAGCATTGTTTCTCTATAGGGGGATGAGTTTACCACTCAGGGGATATGTGGCAATGTCTGAAATCATTTGTGTTATTCACAACTAGAGGAGGAGTGCTACTACTGGCATATAGCGGGAAAAAGACTTAGGGATATGGCTAAACATCCTACAATATCCAGAAAAATCCCCCCACAACAAAAAATTTTTCAACCATAAATGTAAATAATACTGAGGGGGAGAAACTGTGCATTGTAGGATGAATAATTCAAAGATGTAATAAATATTGGAAACAGAATGCATAATATCTACATTCTTCACTAAAACATTTGTACCTGATTCAAGGGTTGGTAAATGTTCTCCATAAAGAATAATATAGTCAATATTTTAGGCTTTGTAGACCATAATATCTCTGTCCAACAGTTCAACTCTGCTATTAAAGTACAAGAGAAGTCACAGACAATAGAAAACAAATGTGTTCCAATAAAAAAACTGGTAGCTGGTGGGATTTGGCCTCTGAGCAATAGTTTGCATTCCCCTGAAACAGATCATTCATTTGCTGCTTAAATACTGTGTAAGAGACATAGTAAGCATGCTGTGATGTTCAGAAGAAGACATTATAGATAACATATCTGAGAAAGTCTCACAGTGGAGGATTTTAAGCTGAGTCTTAAATGATAGAGGAATGTAATACTAACAGCTATAGAAAATTTGCCTTATTATTTTATTTGATTCTCACAATAGTCCTGTAGCATTAATAGGACAGCAGATGAATTGGGTTTGGGAGACAAAACTGATTAGAGAGACTGGACAGGGAGAGGGTCATCCTAAAAGGACCTGAATGCCACACTAAAAAAAAAAGAAGAAAGAAAGAAACGGAACTTCACCTCATAAGTCACTCCGGATCCTTTAAAAGATTTTAAGTAAGGAAGTATTCTTTTTAATCTGTGATAATCCATAATTGAATGGGATTGGTTTCCTTACAAGAAAAAGATGAGACACTGTAGAGTTTTTTCTCTCTTTCTCTTCATCTTTCTCTCTCCCTCAGAGTGCACAGAGAGAAGGCTGTGTGAGGACATAGCGAAAGGCTTCATCAGAAACCAACCTTGCCAGCACCTTGTTCTTCCAGACTCCAGAACTACAAGAAAATAAATCTTTGTTGCCTAAGCCATCTAGTCTATGGTATTTTTTAATGGCAGCTTGAATAGACTAATATACTAGGCATTCTTTAGCATCCCCAGAAAAGACTGTTCTTTATAATGGGGATAAACTAGTCCTAGAGAATAGCTACATTTACCCACCACAATTTGGCTTAAAAACAAGCCTTTAAAGGACCACACTTATTTGTAAGTAATGTAACTGCCTGCCAGAACAAAGCACAGAACCTATTTAAGGAATACAACAAAATTCAGCACTCAGCAATGAGAAATTTACAATATCTAGCATCTAATAAAAAATTACTAAACATGCGAAAAATATAAACCTTAACCCAGAAAAAATAATCAATATAAAGTGACCAAGGAATTACAGAGATGATTAAATTACTAGACAAAAACTTTAAAACAGCTATAATGAATATTATAAATATGCTCAGAATTGGCTGGGCACAGTGGCTCACGCCTGTAATCTCAGCACTTTGGGAGGCCAAGGCGGGTGGATCACGAGGTCAGGAGATGGAGACCATCCTGGCTAACACGGTGAAACCCCGTCTCTACTAAAAATACAAAAATTAGCCGGGCGTGGTGGCGGGCGCCTGTGGTCCCAGCTGCTCAGGAGGCTGAGGCAGGAGAATGGCCTGAACCCGGGAGGCCGAGCTTGCAGTGAGCCCATATCGTGCCACTGCACCCCAGCCTGGGCAACAGAGAGAGACTCTGTCTCAAAAAAAAAAATGCTCAGAGTTTAAAAGAACATAACTATAATAAGGAAAGAAAAGGGAGATGTAAAAAGTAATCAAATGAGATGGAAATGAAAAGTACATTATTTGTAATAAAAATTTCACTGGTAGGGTTGACAGCAGATTAAACTGGAAAAAAACAATGAATAGAGCGTCACTTTCCTGTGGTACAATATCAAGCAGTCGAAGCTACATGTTACTGGAGTCTCAAAAAAAGGAAGTGTGGAAAGAGGTGTGGAATGAAAATAATATTTGAAGAAATAATTGGAGAATTTTTCTCAAATTTGATTCAAAAAAAACTATAAACCCAGAGATTCAAAAAGCTTAGGCCCAACACAGTGGCTCACACCTGTAATCCTAGCAATTTGGGAGGCCAAGGCAGGTGGATCACCTGAAGTCAGGAGTTCAAAACCAGCCTGGCCAGCATGGTGTGACCCCAATCTCTACTAAAAATACAAAATTAGCCAGACCTGGTGGTGCATGCCTGTAATCCCAGCTACTCGGGAGGCTGAGGCAGAAGAATTGCTTGAACCTGGGAGGTGGAGGTTGCAGTGAGCCAAGTTCTTGCCATTGCACGCCAGGCTGGGCAACAAGAGTGAAACTGCGCCTCAAAAAAAAAAAAAAAAAAAAAAGGCTTAACAAATCCCAAGCAAAAAAAAATTTTTTGAAGAAAACTACTCTGAGATTATTATAATTAAATTGCTGAAAACAAGTGATAAAGGGAAAACCTTAAAAGCAGCCAAAGATGGGGAAAAGACATGATGGCAGGGGGAAGATAAGAATTATCAGAAATAAGAGAATGATGCTACATCTTTAAAATGCCAAAAGAAAAAACAATCAACGTAGAATTCTATACTTACAATAAATATCTTTCAAAATTAAAAGTGAAATGAAGAACTTCTTTTAAAGAATAGCTGAGAAAATTCATAGCGAACAGACATGAAGTAGGAAAAAACGATAAAGGAAGCTCTACAGACAGAAAAAAAAATTATACTAGATGAAAACGTGAATCTACGCTAAGGCAAGAAGAGCATCGAAAGTGATTAGTGCAACAGTTTGGATGTTTGTCCCCTCCACATCTCATGTTGAAATCTGATCCCCAATGCCGGAGGTGGGGCCTAAGGAGAGGTGTTTAGGGAATGGGATGATTTCTTCATGAATAAATTAAGTCCCCTCCCTGCTGGGGAGAAAGGAATGAGTGAGTTCTGGCTCTATTAGTTCCTAAAGAGCTCGTTGTTAAAAAGAGCCTCCTAGGTTGGGCGCGGTGGCTCACGTCTGTAATCCCAGCACTTTGGGAGGGATTACACAAGGCGGGTGGATCACCTGAGGGATCCATGAGGCTGGTGGATCACCTGAGGTCGCGAATTCAAGACCAGCCTGACCAAAATGGAGAAACCCCGTCTCTACTAAAAATACAAAAATTAGCCGGGCGTGGTGGCTCATGCCTGTAACCCCAGCTACTCCGGAGGCTAGGCGGAGAATGGCAGGAACTCGGGAGGCGGAGGTTGCACTGAGCCGATATCGCTCCATTGCACTCCAGCCTCGGAGCGAAACGCCGTCTCAAAAAAAAAAAAAAAAAAAAAAAAAAAAAAAAAAAAGAGCCTCGTGCCTTCCTCCCCTCTCTCCTGCTTCCTCTCTCACCATACGATCTGCACACACCAGCTTCCCTTCTCTTTCCACCATGAGTGGAAGCAGCCTGAGGTCCTCACCACATGCTGATGCTGGCGCCATGCTTCTTGTACAAGCCTGAAGAACCATGAGCCAAATAAACTTATTTTCTTTGTAACAATGACCCAGGCTTAGAGATACCTTAATAGAAATACTAAACGGGCTAAGACAGTAAATATGTGGGTAAATACAAAAGACCTTTATCTCAAATTTAATTTCTTTAAAATATAGTTTTAAAAAACGTTAATCAATTAATCACCCTAAACCTGTTTGTTTGTTTGTTTTTGAGACAAGGTCTGGCTCTGTCAGGCAGGCTGGAGTGCAGTGGCCCAATCTCAGCTCACAGTAACCTCTGCTTCCTGGGCTCAAATGATTCTCCCTCAGCCTCACAAGTAGCTGGGATTACGGCCACCACCCCCGGCTAATATTTTTGCAGACAGGGTTTTGCCCTGTTGCCAAGGCTGGTCTCGAACTCATGTTCTCAAGTGATCCATGGCCTTGGCCTCCCAAAGTGCTGTGATTACAAGCATGACCTACCCATCCAGTCAGACCTGTTTATTTTAAACAAATTTCTCACGCATCTATTTCTGTAAATGATCTACTTTCTCTCCTGATGGTAGATTGCAAGTGGAGTCATTTTATTCTTATCATTAATATCTACTATACATTATTCTCTTTGTTGTTCATTTAAGTTCTAGCTCTGCAGCAGATTAGTGTAGATGGTATTTAGCTCACCAAAAAGACATGTAACCAATTCTGATGAACCCTCAGTCACTTCAACACGTAACCATCACTCTACAAGACACACTGTGTGGTAAGAAATGTACTGGAATTCTCGGACACTGCGTAAGCCTGGAAAATAGTCTGCGCAGTGATGTAGCAAATTCATTCGATAAGGGAGGGGCCTAGGCTTCCTCACTGTGCCAAAAGATATTCCGTTGAGCTTAAAGGACCTATATTCCTTCCAATTATATATTGAACACAATGTTTGAGGGGTTTTTGGTTCTTTTTTCCTCCTGAATGGTAAATATAATAAACATTGAAAAAATACAGTTTAATACTATACTAATTCTTTTTTAGATAAAGGTAAATTCTTTTCAACTATCAAATTACACAAACTCAATGGTGAATGGCGAGTGATGTTGCAATATAAAAGTAGAACATTATCACCAGAATCAAATACATTTTCAAGGGAGTGAGTGTGTGTGTGTTTGTATGTGTGTGTGTGCACGCTTTAACTGAAAAGCTCTATACCTTACACTTCAAGCATCCCATGTCCAAGGTTTTCTTGGGAAAAAAATATAAAACCAAAGAAAAAATAAAGCTCATAAAAAATCCTTAAAGATTTTAATGTTAGGATTGGAATTTACATAGTTTATAGTATGACAAAAAAACCTGATCTTCTTGCTCTCCTTCTCATAAACCTTCCAACAGCTTCCCACAGGACTAGGAATAAAATCTATGATCCTTGTCATTTCACTCATGGATGGGCCTGGTTGTTTTGGCCCCTGCTAATCCAGCAAGTCGTCTGCTACTCTCCTTCCACCCTTCTCAGAAACGTTTAAGCCCTATTAACTTGGTAACATTGTTTCAGTTTCTTGATTTGGCCAAACTCCCCTCAGAACCTACTCAAATGCTGTTCTTTCTGCCTGGAAACGTTCTTTACCTGGTTAGCCTTCTTTTCATCTCCCTCTCTCCTCTCTTCCCATCTGAATCAGCTTATACTATTTCAATGTATCTTCATTAAGTTAACCACAGGTAGTAATTATGGATTTGTTATTATAGCTTTTTAATGTCACTCTGCTCCACTACGCAAGTATCAAGTATATTTTGTCTATCTCTGCATATCCAGAAAGAGTGTCTGGCACAGAGTAGGCACTTCACATTTGTGGAGTGAATGAACAGCTAGCTTTGCACATGAATTCATGAATGCTGTTTACAACAAGTGTCATTTCATTCTTGGATGAAACTCACGAACTGTGGTGGTATTTGCTATTATTCCATATGTCCAAGTGGATCCTTCAAAAGCATTATATATTGAAATTGGTTTATTTAGCATTACATAAATTCCTTGTTTGTTTTTCAAACTTTTTTATTTTTAATTTTTGTGATTACATAGTAGATGTATATATTTATGGGGTACATACAATGTTTTGATACAGGCATGCGATGTGAAATAAGCACACCATGGAGAATGGGGTATCCATCCTCTCAAGCATTTATCTTGTGTGTTACAAACACTCCAATTATGCTCTTTTAGTTATTTTTAAATGTACCATTAAACTATTAATGACTACAGTCACCCTGTTGTGCTATCAAATGGTAGGGCTTATTCATTCTTTTTAACTATTTTTTGTACCCATTAATCATCCCCACCACCCTCTCAGCCCCCCACTACCCTTCCCAGTCTCTGGTAACCATCCTTCTACTCTCTATGTCCATAAGTTTAATTGTTTTGAATTTTAGATCCCACAAATGAGTGAGAAACTGCGATGGTACATGGATTCCCTGTTAGAGTATGGAGGATACAACAGTTAAAAGTATCATGTTACATGTGAACATTTAGAGGTGCCAGATGCATACAAATTCTAAAGTTCTCTACCAACAACAACAGAAGTGTGCCACACACACTTATGAAATTATGCTAGAAAATAAAAACCCTAGTTTATCATAAGGTATTATTAAATGGAAAGGAAAGTCAGCGCAGGCAGTGGAAATTCATGTTTCAAGTGTGAGAACTCAGCAGTCCTTCAGCAGGGCAAGGTGAATCTGTGCTGCAACATCGCCACACTGTGGCCAGATCCAGAATCGTTTACTACTCTGTGGGAATACATGGTTTTCAGGCCGTAAGGGTAAATGTCCAAGCATTTACTCAACACTAAACAGAACTAATTTAAATAGTCCCCTGAAAATTAATCTTAGTCCAAAACTGTATTCGTGTCCCTCAATCATGGTGGCTTAATATAATGTTGGCACAGTTTACTGTGGTTTCTTTTCTAATGGTCCATACCTTTTATCCCACACATAACCAAAAGCAATTTTTCAATTAAAATAAATTATTTAGAAGGAAAAAAAATGAAAACTACACTGTACAACGGGAAACGATACTACATCTCTCTTCCGCTATTCTAGCACTAAGTTCCTTTATTAACCATTACTTACTTCCCCCCAAATTTATCTGATCTTCAATAACCTAAGATGCTAATCTGAGTTAAGTTTAAATCGTATGCAGTATTTTTCAAAACCTTGTGCCATTAGATTGAATATCTAAGATTTACTGTTTTCATATATACTAGCTTCAAGGTGCCTTTGTAGATAACCCTCTTTTTCTGGCATTGAGTGAGAAGTATAGTCATTTCCTAAATGAAGAAAAAAGGGGGGAAAACAGCTGAATTTTCCAATCCTCCTATCATGCCTTTTTGACAATAAAATGGCAGCAATTTATTTTGTTTGAAGTGAACTCTCACAGCAACTGGCACTTGATGATGGGTTTAACTGCTTTATTTCAAATATATTAATCTATAAAATCCCTTGATTGGCTTTTCTGTTGCTAATCTTATCATGTAATGAAGAAAAGGCATTTCATTGATGAAAATCATTTAATCATTTTTCCTTCATCCAGCACTGACAACTTTCTATGTTAGATTCTTTTTCTTGTTGTTGTTGTTGTTGAGACAAAGTCTCTCTGTCACCCATGCTGGAGTATAGTGGTGCCATCTCGGCTCACTGCAGCCTCTGCCTCCTGGGTTCAAGCAATTCTCCTGCCTCAGTGTCTCAAGTAGCTGGAGTTACAGGTGTGCTCCACCACGCCTGGCTAATTTTTGTATTTTTAGTAGAGACATGGTTTCACCATGTTGGCCAGACTGGTCTCAAACTCCTGGCCTCAAGAGATCCACCCATCTCAGCCTCCCAAAGTGCTGGGATTACAGGTGTGAGCCACCATGCCCAGTCTCTATGTTAGATTCTACAGATGGCACAGCAAAGATTTTCCCCAGGTATGTGTGTTCTAGAGGACAAGAACAATGTTATCGCTTGATGATTTCTCATCAGTTCCTAATATGATGTCCATAATGAAAATCTAGTATTTAGAATGACTGAAATAGGCAAGTAACTTATGTGTTTGTCCTTGTAACTATATAACATTCAATCATGTACCATGTGTTAACATGCCATGTGACTTTTACCTAGTCTCCTAATGTTTCTGAGATTCTTATTCCTCCTGTGTCAAATGATGTGCATTAATTTTCTCCAAAGCCTCTTCTAGATTTAAGATTTTATGATTATTCTGCATGTGAACATCGTAATTGAGCAAATATATATTTTCATCTTTTATTTTATTTATTTATTTGAGACAGGGTCTCACTTTGTCATCCAAGCTGGGGCAAAGTCGTGCCATCATAGCTCACTGCAGCCTTGACCTCCCAGGCTCAAGCGATCCTCCCACCTCAGCCTCCTGAGTAGCTGGGACTACAGATGCACACCACCACACCCAGCTAATATTTTAATATTTTGTAGAGACTAGTTCTTGCTATGTTGACAAAGCTGGTCTCAAACTCTTGGGCTCAAGTGATCCTCCTGCCTCAGCCTCCCTAAGTGCTGGGATTACAGGGGTCAGCTACTGCACCTGGCCTATAACTGAGCAAATAAAAATGTTTAAACTAAATGCCAAATATTTAGGATTCATTACGACAATTTTAGAGCACTACTTTAAGGAGAAAGCATGTCTGTAAAGACATGAATTAGATCATATAAATGTTCCAGATAAAGGACTTCAGTACATGAAATACCAAGTGATATTGTTGTATCTGCGGGACTAGCTACATTATGTGCTTGAAAGACTGATGACTAGTTAAAAAGAAAAAAGTAAACTAATTCCATTAATTCAACGGACGTAGCTAAAATAAATAAACATATTAGGCATTATCACTAAAATCACTGTAGCAAAGTCGTATCTAAAACCCAGAAACTTTGGAAGATGCCTCTGTCAATGGAAAAAATGAAACTAGACTGTTTGAATACAGTTCATTCATCCTGTGACTATTTCTGGAAACAATTGTTTGGTAAATGCCCAGGAGGTGAGAAAAATCTCTGAAAGAGTGATAAATAGGAAGGGAAGTAAAAAACAATCAAAAATTGGAACCAAATGTCACAATTAATTAAAATAGCCTTAGAAATACTGTTTCGAAACTAAGTTATACCTAGAACTCGAGTACTTTTTAACGGCACACCACATTCTGTTAAAACCACTCTCTCAATAAGTACCAGCGACCTACAAATCATTAAAGATAATCATTCCAGAAGGTTCTATTCCCACCAGTATTTTCTTCATTTTTCCTTTGGATGGAATTATAACTATATAACTTCTAATATCACCATTGAGCAGATACATGGTTCTCAGTTACTTTCTCAGTATCTCTGTTGGGATTGTACCAAACTCATGTTTAAAGCTTAACTCATTATCTTTCTTTTCAAAACCAGTGTATCCAGATATTTGTTTCTATTAACACTGTAACTATTCCACCATTTCACCTCAAAAGCTTAGAGTTATCTAAGAATCTTATATGCTGTTATAGTTTGGATGTATGTCCCCTCCAAATCTCATATTGAAATGAGATCCCCAGTGTTGAAAGTGGGGCCTGGTGGGAGATATTTGGGTTATGGGACTGGATTGTTCATGAATGGCTTGGTGCCTTCCCATGGTAATGAACGAGTTCTCACTCTGTTAGTTCACAAGAGAGCTGATTGTTTTGAGACTGGGACCTCCCTCCTTTCTCTCTTGTGTTCTCTCTTGCCAAGTAATACACTCGCTGCCCCTTTGACTTCAGCTATGACTGGAAACTTCCTGAGGCTGTCACCAGAAACAGATGCCAGCACTATGTTTCCTGTATAGGCTGTAGAACTATGAGCCAAAGAACTCTTTTTTTAATATATAGAGTACCCAGCCTCGGGTATTCCTGCATGGCACTGCAAAACAGACTAACACTCATGTCTTTCCCACACCCTGATCTTTCTTGTTCTTATCTCAATACTATTTCTATTTCTCACTCCCATCTTTTCTTTCCCGCTTTTTGGTGCCATCATTCTAGCCATGGTTACCTCTCCATTGTCTCTTGCCTGGAATATTGTAGTAGTTCCCTAAGTGTGCATCATACCAGACTCAGCATTGTTATATCTCAAGGCTTGACTTACTTGATATCATTTAAGTATTTTTAAATCACAAACCAATTCATGTAATTCTATGCTAAAAATCCCTAAATGTCTTCCCATTGTATATGAACAAAACAGAAAACCCTAATACTTAAAGGCTTTTCTGAAAGCTTATTCTCTACCAGTCTCCATGTTCCAGTGGAACTGGGCCATTCTCACATTCTTTGAGTTTACTCAAAGGCAGAAGCTCATGGTGCCTCTTTACCATGTCGTGCCTCTTCACGCCCATCTCTGCGTGAAGGCAGCTTCATCTCTTTGCTTCCTTGACCAGCCTGTTGTCTTCCTTGATTCCCTCCAGCCAAAGTTGGCCTCCCTATCCACCACCCAACTCTAATAGTCACTAATAAAACATATTTTGAAATATTTTACAGAGTGGAATATAACTAACAAATAAAGAATTTAAAACATAGTTGGGGATCTCAGTGTACCCTTCCCCAAAATAATTTCTCTCCCTCTTTCATAGAGGTAAACATGACCATAATTTTGATATTTTCCATTCATGTGAATTCTTTATAATTTTGCTGTTTACATATATACCCTAAATAATATATTTTAATATATTATTTTTAATTTATAAATTTAAAAAATAAAATTTATAAATAATAAAAATTATAAATATAATTTTTTTAACTTGTTGAAATGATGTCATGTTATCTATGTTACCTTACAGCTTAGGAGGATTTTAGGAGGGATGGGGCAGGGAGATGATTAACTCAACATTAAACCTTGCTGATACATGTAATCCTAACTCTTTTATTTTTACTAATAGAGAGTATTCCACTGTCATAGTATACAATTTAAATTCTTTATTTGCTACACAAATTCCTCTTCATACTTCTTATACACAACTACACAGAGAAACTTTGTTGATGGATATTTCAATTACTTCCGCTTTTTTCTATTACAAACAATATCACTAAAATTATTTCTTTGTGCATCATTTCAGAGTTTTTTCTGAGTTTATATAACTAGATGATAAATTACTGAGTTGTAAGATGTCTTTCAGTATTCATTTCTAACATCAGAAAACTGTTCCCATTGCTTCCCTTTTTCACCAAAACTTGGTATTTTCCTGGCTTCTGAATTTTTGTTTATCTGAGTGATACAACTTGTTTCTCACTGTAGTTTTAATTTATACTTTACAGATTATATATATAGTCAAAGGAGCTTATTAGTCACTTCTTTCTTCTTCTATATACTCTTGTTCTTATATTTTACCAACTTTTCCATTGTGTTGTCTTTTTCTTACATATATTTTAAGAGGTTTTTAAAGTTCTGGATGCTATCACTTTTATACTTTCAAATATCTTCATTTAATCTTGGCTTATCTTTGTAATTATTTTATTATGTTTTCTTCAGATACATACAATTTTTTAAAATAATACTATTATTGCTGTTAAAAGGTAAACTGAAGTGCAATAATGTTAAAGAATCGGGCGGGCGGGGTTGCTCAACCCTGTAATCCCAGCACTTCGGGAGGCCGAGGCGGGTGGATCACGAGGTCAGGAGCTCGAGACCAGCCTGGTCAGTATGGTGAAACCCGGTTTCTACTAAAAATACAAAAATTAACTGGGCGTGGTGGCGCGTGCCTGTAGTCCCAGCTGCTCGGGAGACTGAGGCAGGAGAATCACTTGAATCCGGGAGGCAGAGGTTGCAGTGAGCCGAGATCGCGCCACTGCACTCCAGCCTGGGCGACAGAGCGAGAATCTGTCTCAAAAAAAAAAAAAAAAAAAAAAAATTAAGAGTCTATTTTGGCAAACAGTTATTTATGAATCAGGCAGCTCCAAACTGAAAGAAGTGTTGTGCTCTGTTGAAGAAGTGTTCAAGACAAGATTTTAAAGTCTTTATTAAGGATTTTAAAGGATTTATTAAGTTTATAAAGAATATAGACTTAAAGAAACTTTTGATGAGTTACAGTTACAAAGTTTCCTTATTTGTTCTATCCCGTTGGAAAGTCCCTAGTAACATAAGCTAGTTGGCTGCTTCTGGTTGGTTAAGCTTAAGTTTTGTTTTTCCTAATAAAAGCAATTACAATAAATAGCCCAAGTTAAGTTTCTCTTACATTTGCAAAGCAGGCAAAGTTCAGGTCAATTATGAGAACTTGGGCTTTATTTGTTCAGGGATTCTTTGGACCTGGTCTTTGTTTTAATTTACTTTAAGATAGTTAATATTTATTGAGTGTCTAATTATCCTTCATACAAATTGAATCATTTTACACATGTGTTGTAAATTTAACAATATTTCCCTTTTGATTTATGCTTCTTTGTCTAATTTTTAAAATGCTGATTTTTCTTGTGATTATGCTGTTTTGCCTAATTTTAAAAATACTTATATTTCTTGTCTTTTATTTACTCCTTTATTTTCTTCTAAGAGACTAAAAATTTTATTTTTCACATTTAGTTTGTTAAACCATATATATTGAAGTGTTTGCTATAGGAGTTGAGATGTTTTTTTTTTTCATACGGATCATGAGTGGTACTAACAGCTAAAATTTTTTCTATTAAGTCTGACAATCTCTTTATGTTAACTTGAAATTCAGTCTATTTATCTTATCATAACTAACAATATATTTAAACTTATTGCTAACAATTTACTTTGTGCTTTCTGACAATTTACTTCCCACTTCCTTCATGAATTTTAACCCCATTTTCTGTTAATTTCATATTTCCTCTTTTCTTTTATGTTCTAGAAATTTTAAGTTCCATTTATTTTTGAGACCATTCTTAAATTATAACATGCATAAAGATAAATCAATACTCTTGAAAGAGTAAAGGATTTTAAATGTCTTGTTGGTCATATTTGCAGAAAAGAAAACCTAAATAGCACTTGACTTTTTTTTTTTTTTTTTTTTTTTTTTTTTTTTTTTTTTTTGTAATAGAGACAGGGTTTTGCTCTGTCGCCCAGGCTGGACTGCAGCATTACCATCATAGCTCACTGCAGCCTCAACCTCCTGGACTCAAGTGATCCTCCCACCTCAACCTTTTGAGTAGCTGAGACTACAGGTACATCCAGTTAATTTTTTTATTTTTGTAGAGACAGGGTTTCACCATATTGCCCACGCTGGTCTTGAACTCCTGGGCTCAAACAATCTCCCCACCTTAGCATCCCCAGAGTATTGCTACTTCTTTTACAGAATGTACTTTAAATTTCCTAATCGTATGGTTATTTGATTACATATTATCCAAAAGACTGTAAGCTCCTTTAGCATGTAAATCCTCCTACATTCTCCTCATTTTTTCTTTCCCGGAATGTCTTTTTAAAATATGTACATAAAGAAAACAACCAGAATTCATTTTCTCTTTAAGTCTCATTGCCGACTGTCCTAATTTCTCCTGGAGGACATCAAACCTGTACTGTACTAAACTTTCAGTGATATAAAAATAAAATAGGTTCAACAGATTAGGTTACTGCCATTACTCACCATAGTTACTTTAGAATGAAGGAAGTAGGAGAGTAGGGTGCCATTGACTTCAAAGAAATGAAAACTTTTGAGAAAATCTGCCAACCCTACCAAGTTAGCAAAAATTTAGAAATATAAAATTCTCTAAAGTTTATTTTTTTAATTTTCAGTTAAAATGTTCACTAATAACCTTGTTGGGAAGAATTTTCAGCTGAGGTGTTGGAACAGAAGCCAAATTGCAGTAAGTTGAGAAGTAAACAGGAGATAAGGAAGAAAAGGAAACAAATACTGAGTACACCTTCCAGAAGCTTAGGTGTGACAGGAAAGAAATGAGGATGTAGATTTGAGAATATCCAAAAGCTTTATTTTCAGATGTTGAGTACTTTTAAATTCAGTAACCAGAATCTTTTACGGAACTCTCTGGGTATGGAAAGTAATCTGAAGCTACTTATATACATATTATGTCTTGCTTACTAACTGGTACCAGGTGAAAAGCACCATATCTCTTTGTGTTTGCATACATACTGCATATGTCAGAGGCATTTGAACCAGAGCAGCTCCCTTTTGAGCAGGGGCTGGGTAAAATAAGGCTGAGACCTACTGGGCTGCATTCCCAGGAGGTTAGACATTCTAAGTCACAGGATGAGACAGAAGGTTGGTACAAGATATAGTTCATAAAGACCTCGCTGATAAAAACAGGTTGTAGTAAAGAAGCCAGCTAAACCCACCAAAACCAAGATGGTGGCAAGAGTGACCTTAGGCCGTCCTCACTGCTACACTCCTACCAGCACCATGGCAGTTTACAGATGCCATAGCAACATCAGGAAATCACCCTATATGGTCTAACAAGGGGAGGAACCCTCAGTTCTGGGAACTGCCCACCCCTTTCCTGGAACACTTATGAATCATCCACCCCTTGTTTAGCATATAATCAAGAAATTACCACAAAAATGGGCAACCAGCAGTCCTTGGGGCTACTCTGCCTGTGGAGTAGCCATTCTTTTATTCTTTTACTTTCTTAATCAACTTGCTTTCGCTTTACAGACTCGTCCTAAATACTTTTTGGATGAAATCCAAGAACCCTCTTTTGGGGTCTGGATCGGACCCCTTTCCGGTAACACATATGCCTAACACAGTATCTTACACATAAAAAGAGCTCAGGCTGGGCGCGGTGGCTCTCGCCTGTAATCCCAGCACTTTGGGAGGCCGAGGCAGGCGGATCACCTGAGGTAGGGAGTTTGAGACCAGCCTGACCAACATGGAGAAACCCCGTCTCTACAAAAAATGCAAAATTAGCCAGGTGTGGTGTTGCATGCCTGTAATCCCAGCTACTTGGGGGGCTGAGGCAAGAGAATCACTTGAACCCGGGAGGCAGAGGTTGCAGTGAGCCGCGATCGCACCATAGCACTCCATCCTGGCCACAGAATAAGACTCTGTCTCAAAAAAAAAAGAAAAAAAAAAAAAAGAGCTCAATACATATTTGATGAGGGAACCAAATTCTCTTCAAGATGTCCTTAACCCAAATGATTCCTAAGATCAGTGTTTTACATACTTTGCCAAATATTAGTAAAGTCAATTCTTTCTGGATTTTGATTTGAGGCTACCATAAAGAGAAAATGCCCTTCAAATCTTTGAGCAATTGAAAAGTTAAAAATGTACATGTTATTTCTAAATTTTATTATTATCTACATCTTCCAGGCTAGTAAATGAGTTTCTAGGAGTAAAAGTGCATAGCAAATATAGGTGCTAAAATATTACTGGGCCTAGAGAGATGTCAACCTTGTCAATCCAGGAAGAGTTACCATCCTACCACAATTATGGTATCTATCCCTGCTGAATTCAGATACCAGAATAATTGGGTTTTACTATACCAATAAAAGTATTTTCAATTCCCATTTCCTATGGTAGAAGTCACTAGTTCATGTATGAAATCTGTACTTACACCTAGTCAAAAGCTCACATCAGGTGGGCAGGTGGTGTAAAGTTCCTGTGTATCTGTATTTGGAAATGTAAAGGGATGCATGAGCGGATGGAATAAGACCTGACTTGTTGCTCATTTCTTGTTTGATCACCGCAAGCCTTGTCATTACCTACCCCTGATGGCACTCAGTAATTTTTTTTCAGGTACTTGGGTTTGCACAGTGTTTTTGTCCATAGAGCGACATGAGCCAGTGGTTCTCAAAGTGAGTTCCTAGACAGTAGCATTATATTAATGCTGGAACTAAGAAATGCAAATTTCCTGGGAGGTGGGGGCAGTCAGCAATCTGTTACAATAAGCCCTCCGGGTGACCTCAATGCACATTAAGCTTGAGAACCACTTTCCGAGTGGATGGAATGTGTTTGAATTACAAAATGGCAGATTTTCACTCAACAAAAGATTGTTTTATATGAAATATATACACTTTCTTATGGCTATTTCTAGTGTAAACTCAAAATATCTGAGACAGGTGTCAGTCAATTTAGGAAGTTTACTTTGTCAAAGTTAAGGATGCATGCCCATGACACAGCCTCAGGAGGTCCTGATGACATGTGCTGAAGGTGGTCGGGGCATAGCTTGGTTTTATACATTTTTAGGAGACATGAGACATCGATTAATATATGTAAGATATACATTAGTTTAGTCCAGAAAAGTGGGACAACTTGAAGCGGGGAGGGGGCTTCCAAGTCATAGGTAGGTAAGAAACAAATGGTTGCATTCTTTTGAATTTCTGATTGGCCTTTACTGAATACACAATTTACAAGAATAGTCACTTATGCCTTAGTCTGGCTTAATGCAGCAATAAGGCAAAGAAAGTATGAACTCAAAATATCTGAGACAGGTCTCAATTTAGCAAGTGTATTTTGCCAAGGTTAAGGACGTGCCCATGATACAGCCTCAGAAGGTCTTGACATGTCCTCAAGGTGGTCATGGTACAGCTTGCTTTTATACATTTTTAGGGAGACATGAGATATCAATCGATATGTGTAAGATGAACATTGGTTTAGGCTGGTGAGACCAGACAACTTGAAGTGGGGGCTTCTGGGTCAGAAGTAGGTAAGAGAGGAAAGGTTGCATTCTTTTGAGTCTTTGATCAGCCTTCCACTGAATACATGACTTAGTCTGGCTCAGTGAATCTATAGTTTTACATAAGCAATAGGGCAGAGGAAGCAATCAGAAATGCTCCTGTCTTAGGTGAGCCTCAGAGGGATGACTCTGAGTTCTGTCTGTCCTTTGTCCACAAGGAATTTTCTTGTGAGCAAATTGTGAAGGATTATGTAGCTTCTTACCTCTGTAGCTATCTTGTTTAGGAATAAAATGGGAACCAGGTTTGCCCGATGCAGGTCCCAGCTTGACTTTTCCCTTGACTTAGTGATTTTGGGGTCCCTAGATTTATTTTCCTTTCACAGGAAAATATGCATTTATCTCAGTGAGCAGAGGGATGACTTTTGAGTTCTGTCTGTCCTTTGTCCACAAGGAAATTCCTTGTGGATAAATTGCGAGGGAGGTATGTAGCTTTCTTAAAAAATCTTTGTAGCTATTATATTTAGGAACAGAATGGGAGGCTGGTTTGCCCGACAGCACAGTTTCCAGAATTTTTCACTTTGGCTTAGTGATTTGGGGGTGCCAAGATTTATTTTCCTTTTACACTGGTAATACTTTATTTTCCTTTCACACTGGTAATAAAACATCATTTTATTGGGAAACTTTCCAAACAAATTAAAAAATAAAGAATATAATGTTCCCCATTTACCATTCATCCAACCAAAACAACCATAATTTTCTCAACAATTACTTAATCTATGTCTCCCTTTTTAATTGTGTTAGATGTAACAAAAGTATAATTGTTTTGCTAGCAAATCCCTTCTCTATTAAAAATAAAATATATATATATATACTTTTAAAGTACTTAAGGGTCCAATAAACTCTATCAGAGATTTGTTTTAAAAATAAAGAACTTTTAATAATTATACTTGCTCCCAAATTAAATGAACTACTTAGAGAGATAGTGAAACTCTTACCCTATATTTTCTAAAAAATGTGGTAAATTTTGTAAGTCAATTTGAATGGGCTACAGGGTGCCCAGATTAAACATGGTTTCTGGATATTCCTGGGAGGGTGTTTCCCGTTGAGATTAGCATTTGAATGAGTGAACTCAGTAAAGCAGATGACCCTCCGCAATGTAGCTGAGCATCATTCTGTCTGTTAAGAGGCTGAATACAACAAAAGGCAGAGGATGGAGAAATTTCACCCTTTCACACTTTTTTTTCTACCTCACTATTTGAACTGACGCATTTCATTTCATCTTACCCTGCCCTGGAACTGAATTACACCACCAGCTTTTCTGCTTCCAGGTTGCAGATGGCAGGTCATGGGACTTCTCAACCTTCATGGGCCAATTCCCCATAATAAATCTCCTTTTGTCAGAGGTGTTTAAAGCAGAGCAACTCCATCTTGAATAGGGGCTGGGTAAAATGAGTCTGAGACCTACTGGGCTGCATTCCCATGAGGTTAGGCATCCTTAGTCACAGGATGGAATAGGAGGTCAGCACAAGATACAGGTCACGAAGACCTTGCTGATAAAACACCTTGCAGTAAAGAAGCTGGCCAAATCCCACCAAAACCAAAATGGCCATGAGAATGACCTCTGGTCATCCTACTGCTCAATATGCACTAATTATAATACATTAGCATGCAAAAAGACACTCCCTCCAGTGCCATGACAGTTTACAAATGCCATGGCAACATCAGGAAGTTACCTTATATGGTCTAAAAGGTGAGGAACCTTCAGTTCCTGGAATTGCTCATCTCTTTCCCGGAAAACTCATGAATAATCCACCCCTTGTTTAGCATATAACTAAGAAATAACCATAAAATAGTCAACCAGCAGCCCTGAGGGCTGCTGCCTATGGAGTATGCTCTGCCTCTGCTCTGCCTATGGAGTAGCCATGCTTTTATTCCTTTATTTTCTTAATAAACTTGCTTTCACTTTACGGATTCATCTCTAATTATTTCTTGTGTAAGATTCAAGAAAAAGAACCCTCCCTTGGGGTCCGGATCAGGACTCCTTCCTGGTAACACTTTTATATACATATGTAAATATCTATATTATAAATATTCTAT